>NC_000013.11:73105075-73256590 GCF_000001405.40 Homo sapiens
GTTGCCTAGGCTGGAGTGCAGTGGTTCGATTGTAGCTCACTGTAACCTCAAATTCCTGGGCTCAAGCGATCCTTTCATGTCAGCCTTTTGAGCAGCTGGGAATATAGTATAGGCATGTGCCACCATGACTGACTAATTTTTAATTTTTTTTTTTGTAGCGATAAGGCCTTTTTTTTTTTTTTTTTTTTTTTTGAGATAGATTCTCACTCTGTTGCCCAGGCTGGAGTGCAGTGGTGCGATCCTGGCTCATTGCAACCTCTGCCTCCCAGGTTCAAGCGGTTCTCCTGCCTCAGCCTCCTAAATAGCTGGGATTACAGGCATGCACCACCATGCCCGGCTAATTTTTTTTTTTTTTTTAAGACAGAGTTTCACTCTTGTTGCCCAGACTGGAGTGCAATGGCATGATCTCAGTTCACCGCAACCTCTGCCTTGCGGGTTCAGGTGATTCTCCTGTCTCAGCCTCCCGAGTGGCTGGGATTATAGGCATGCGGCACCACACTGAGCTAATTTTTGTATTTTTAGTAGAGATGGGGTTTCTCCATGTTGTTCAGGCTTGTCTTGAACTCCTGACCTCAGGTGATCTGCTGTCTTTGGCCTCCCAAAGTGTTGGGATTACAGGCACAAGCCACTGCACCTGGCCATTTTTTGTACTTTTTTAGTAGAGGTGGTGTTTCACCATGTTGGCCAGGCTGGTCTTGAACTTCTGACATCAGGTCATCCACCCACTTTGGCCTTCCAAAGTGCTGGGATTACAGGTGTGAGCCATCACGTCCAGCCTAGATAGGGTCTTGCTAAGTTGCCCAGGCTGGTCTCGAACTCCTGGGCTCAAGGGATCCTCTCGTTTCTGCTCCCCAAAGCACTGGGATTACAGTGTGAGCCACTGCACCCTGCAGGACCTTAATTTCCCTTTTCTTTTTTTTTTTTTTTGAGAAGGAGTTTCACTCTTGTAGCCCAGGCTGGGGTGCAGTGGTGCGATCTCAGCTCACTGCAGCCTCTGCCTGCCAGGTTCAAGCGATTCTCTTGCTTTGGCCTCCCGAGTAGCTGGGATTACAGGTGCCCGCTACCATGCCCGGCTAATTTTTATATTTTTATAGAGATGGGCTCACCATGTTGGCCAGGCTGGTTTCAAACTCCTGACGTCAGGTGATCCACCCATCTTGGACTCCCAAAGGGTTAGGTTTACAGGCTTGAGCCATCGTGCCCGGCCCCTGTTTTAATTTAATCAATTCCCATACCCTTTTGGTAATTTTTTAATTTCAGAATTGCCCTACATAGAATTCTATTTCTTGGTATTTGCTTCATAGAATTTTTACAAGATGATACAGTAATCCAAGCAATTCTATATAAAAAGTCACTACAAATTCTCTATAAAAAGTCTC
This sequence comes from Homo sapiens, assembly GCF_000001405.40. Lineage (NCBI taxonomy): Eukaryota > Metazoa > Chordata > Mammalia > Primates > Hominidae > Homo > Homo sapiens. The sequence continues at coordinate 73,106,455 of NC_000013.11, forward strand.
TACTAAGAATACAAAAATTAGCCAGGTGTAGTGGCAGGCGCCTGTAATCCCATCTACCTGGGTGGTTGAGGCAGGAGAATCGCTTGAACTCGGGAGGCGTATGTTGCGGGGAGCCAAGATCTGGCCACTGCACTTCGGCCTGGTTAACAGAGTTAGACTCTCTCAAAAAAAAAAAAAAAAAAAAAAAAATACAACTCGCTTAGAGTCACCTGCTAGAGGTTTCTGGTTATTTGGAGATTTGCTGGCTCTGCCATGGACATGATGGCATATTCGTGGATGATATGGAGAGTGACAAAATGGCTGAGTGTCTAATTATTAATCAAATCACAGATTCATATCTCTCTCCCCCTCCTCCACTAGTTTCCTTGGAGACACAGTTTTTTGTCAATTTTTTGAATTGCATTAATATTAACTATGACTTTGAATCAGGAAGAATGCAAAATATCTGAAGAGTAGTATTTATATCTTCCACGTGACATTTGCATCACATGGATAAACTTTAAAAATGTTCTTGAGAACACGGGAAAATAAGGAAATAGAGTTCAAAAATAAAGTATAGAACTTGTTAGACTAGTTTCTGTTTAAAACTCGGTGGATTATACCTCTTTGTTTTAAACCATTAGAACAGCAATGATTAAATATCAGATTCCTTAAAGAGTCACCAGTTCCTTTTGGAAAGTTTTGATTAAAGCATTGTATTTATTAAACTGTTCTACCCACACATCTTTCCTTCAAGATGTTGTTTTTCCCACGTCTACTGTTTTATTACATGACAGTTATTGAAAGGTTAGATGTGGTTTAATTTCTCAAGGTTTATTTTTATATGTCATAAATCAAGCTTTGTTTTTTTAATACTTTACAAGAAGCAGTGTGGTCTGTTCAAAGGGGGTGCCGGGAGACCTGGGTTCTATTTCTGACTATGACATGTGACTGGGTAAGTCGATGAATTCATCAGTGTCTCAGTCTCCCTTGCCATGTAATGGGGATAATAATATCTCCCTTTTACCTACTTCACAGTTTTTTTTTAAAGGATTAATTAGTTGATGTTTGCAAGTCACTCTGAGCTCCTTTGATAAAATACAAAGCACCATTATTTATGACAATAATAATAGTGTCTCGACCAGTACGTTTCCTTTCATCCAAGGATGGCAAAGTACTTTACCACTGGGATTGCAGCTTTACAGCAGATTACTGTGTGGTGGCTGGCTCTCCCTGAAGAAACAGATGGTAATGAGCAGTCTGGTTTTCACTAGAGAGTAATTAAGTCTCCCACCAACTCATTGAATCATTTGCATAAACTTCCCAAGACAGAAGTGCAGCTCCCGAAAGAGCTGGGAGAAGCTGAATTGGGCTCTCATCCCTCATTACTATTTATAAACAAGTCACAGGGGATGTGGATCTTGGAATATCAATATTTTCAACCCTTAAATCGATATGCTGAAAGGTTGCTAAAGCATGGGAATATTTAGACAACAGGTAAATTAGGTTCAACAAAAACATACATGTAAGAAGCGTGGGTTACCTGAGGGTATTTCAAGTTGTGTAGACCAATTACGTACAAGTCCTGTGATCTCTCCTTGGCAGTCTGGTTAGACTAACTTTCAGTTAATTGACAAAGACGAATTAAGTGCCTGACTCGTGTGCCTGTCTCGGGTTATTAAGAAGAAAAGTGTGCGATGTGGTCCCTGCCCTCAAGTTGTTTACAACGTATTTGAGAAGATGAAACTAAGATACAGGAAACAATTAGTGGAGTATGGAAGACAGCATATAATTAAGGGCTAAATTGTGTGGAACAGACCACAGGACGTTGAAAGAAGGAAGTGGTCTGTATGGACCAGTGTAGTTCAGGAATGCTTCACCAAACACGTGAATTAAAGAAGCACATTTTCCATGTACTCCATAAATATATAGACCTACTATATACCCACAAACATTCAAATTTTTGTTTGAATGAATATATCTATATAGAATATCTATATAGAATATCTATATAGAATATATAGAATATCTATATAGAATATCTATATAGAATATATAGAATATCTATATAGAATATCTATATAGAATATATAGAATATCTATATAGAATATATAGAATATCTATATAGAATATCTATAGAATATCTATATAGAATATCTATAGAATATCTATATAGAATATCTATAGAATATCTATATAGAATATATAGAATCTATATAGAATCTATATAGAATATATAGAATATATACAGAATATATATACAGAATATATACAGAATATATATACAGAATATATACAGAATATATATACAGAATATATATAGAATATATATACAGAATATATATAGAATATATATACAGAATATATATAGAATATAAATAAATAAATAAATAAATAAATAAAATATATATATATTTTGAGACAGGGTCCAGCCCAGGCTGGAGCGCAGTGGCATGATCTCACCGCAACCTCAACCTCCTGGGCTCAACCCATCCTCCCACTTCAGCCTCCCGCATAGCTGGGACTACAGGCACGTGCCACCACACCTGTCTAATTTTTGCATTATTTGTAGAGACAGGGTTTCACCATGTTGCCCAGCCTGGTCTGGAACTCCTGAGCTCAAAAGATCTGTCCTTCTTGGCTTCCCAAATTGCTGGGATTAAAGGCGTGATCCACCGTGCCCAGCCCAGAATAAAAAAATTAAAAAAAAATTAAGGAAAAAAAAAGCATGTTTTCCACAGGACCGGTATGTGAAGGGACAGTGTGCTTGTGTTGGAAGATAAGGCAGAGAGGGAGACTTGACTCTGGTAATGCGGGGCTTTGGTAGCCAGGCAGGGAGGAAGAAGAACAGAGAACTCAGAGAACTTTCATAGTCAGGCAGAGGAGTCTGGACCTAATTTAATTTACTTTCTTTTATTTTCTTTCATTTATTTATTTTTTTAAAGAGACAGGGTCTTACTTTGTCACCCAGGCTGGAGTGCAGTGGTATAATCATGGCTCGCTGTAACCTCAAACTCCAGGCTCAAGCGATCCTTCTACCTCAGCCTCCCAGTAGCGGGGATTGCAGGCATATGTCATCATGCCTGGTGAATTTTTAAATTTTTTTGTAGAGATGCACTTTGCTATGTTGCCCAGGCTGATCTCAAACTTCTGTGCTCAAGCAATCTTGCCACCTTGACCTCCTAAAGTGCTAGGATTACAGGCATGGAGCCACTGCACCTGGCCCACTTATTTTTAAAGACTTCAGAACACAGGGACTCAGCCGGGTGCAGTGACTCATGCCTGTAATCCCAGCATTTTGGGATGCTGAGGTGGGAGGATCATCTGAGGTCAGCAATTCGAGACCAGCCTGACCAACATGGCGAAACCCCGTGTCTACTAAAAATACAAAAATTAGCCGGACATAGTGGCGGGTGCCTGTCATCCTAGCTACTCGGGAGGCAGAAACGAGTAGCTGGACCTGGGAATCAAGAATTGCTTGAACCCAGGAGGCAGAGGTTGCAGTGAGTGGAGATCATGCCTCTGCACTCCAGCCTGGGTGACAGAGCGAGACCCATCTCAAAAAAACAAAACAAAACAAAGCAAAAACAAAACAAAACAAAACAAAACAAAAAAAGAAAAGAACATAGGACCTGAGAAAAGCAGTATTTTGTAATGATTCTTTGGCAACAGTATGCAGGAATCACTGGAGCAGAAAAGACACCCGAAGCAGGGAGGCTGGCTGGAATTGGATACAGTAATCTAGAGTGGGTAGAACTTTATCTAGAAGGATTGTGGTGGTCATGGAGAGAAATAAGTAAAAATAGAGCGTTAAATGAGAGCTTACTACATGCTGGAAAGGCATCTTATTCTCATAACAACCCAAGGTGATACTGATATAAATTCATGTTAGCATTGATTTTCTGATATGGAAACTGTGGTTGAGGAGGTGAACTTGTGACTTGGACCCAGAGGTGGTATGTCTTAGAGCCAAGGTTTGAGCCCCGTATGAATCCTAAATCACTATTTAGATGGAAGAGATTAATGTGGGAGAAGTAGACATTTTGGCCAAAGAATAGCCATTCAATCTAGCCAGGAAAACCCTGGGTTAGACAAACTTAAAAACAGGTCATTTTCTCTCCCTTAATTTCTAGACCTCTATGGTGTCCTCTAGGGTGTCCTAGACCTTTATGGGGCTATTGCACATAGTGAATCTGTAAGAGAATTTAGTCTGAGGAGCATGTCTACACTGGCGTCGTGCAGAAGGCATTTGGAAAATGCTGGCGTGAAATCTTCCTTCCTAGCCATGCTAAGCTCCAAAATCAGGAATACCAGGGGGCCATCAGGACTGGAAGTGAGGGTATTCCAGGGACTGCTAGAGAGCCAGAGGTTAGGACTGGGGTTAAGCAAAAGCAGAAAATAAGAGAAGCAGACACAGGAGGCAGCTATCAGCCTGACAAACTAGATTCAGGGACTTGCACATTCAAAGTGGGAAGGTTTAGGTCACAGGCAAATTAGTTCCAGAGAGAACCTAGTGCCTGGAAGTCCAGTTTCTGCTGCCTGCTGCTGGGTCCTTCCTTGCCTCACCTGGCTGGACTCTGCCAGGTCAGCCTGTCTCTACTTCGGCATCTCAAAGCGTTAAGGCCGAGCAGCTGATGCTCTTGATGCGGGGATTAACAGAGGTTAGTAGTTTTTCCTGGTTAGAAAAAGTGTAAGAGAATTAGGTTGTAGCGGGAGTGGTTTGATTTGGTTGATACCCTGGAGGCCCAGAGTTGTGAAATTTTACTTTGACTCAAGATGAAATTGGGAGTAATTCTAATGAGAAAAGAAAGTGCTTGAGGAAGAGGATTCTTGCTGAAATCTGAGGCTTTGGAAGGAGAAAAGGTTAAAACAAAACTACAGCTGAGTTTAAAACCCAATACCCCTTAAACACTGGCTGGCTTTAAAACTCTACTACAAATGATTAGAGCATTAGCCATGATTTCTAAAGCTTGCAATTTCACTTATGAATCTACACACTGATTACATTTTGGATACATTTGGCAGCCAAAGTAGACCAGGAAATCATTATTGGATAAAAAGGGCCACACAGGAGGAAGTTTTTATTGGCAAATACCAACTTATATATTCACAGAATCCTATCGTCTTAGTCCTAGAAGGAATCTATCCCCCCTGCCTTACGAAGGCCTTCTCTAAAATGTGTCCAAAGAGACAGCAATCTCTTCTCATTTAATAACCTGCCCCCGCTTCCAACTCTCTGAAATGTATTCCAACCTCTGATACTCCTATCACATTAATTTAAATCCTTTTTTTTTTTTTTTTTGGTTATCTCCTCTGTGAACATGGAAAACAGTTATCATCTTTTCTTTCAAAACCCTTCATATTCTAGAAGGCTATAATTACATTTCCCTCAATTTTCTCAGCTTTTGATGGAATAATATACATGTGTATTTCTGACATTTGTTGACTTCTGGGGATGTGTAGGGCACTGAGCGTGTCACATAAAGTATCTCATTTAGTTCTGACAAAAGCCTGCATAATATTTATATTGCATAAATTTTATATAAATATAATAATAACACATGATTATAGATCCCCCCCCCACTTTCTATCTAAAGTAGAGGCTCCTTGTAAGCTGGAATTCTTAGCCCCATTTGAGAGATAAAGAAATTGACACTTGAGGTTCAGAGGTTAATAATACCTTTCAAACAGTTGGTAAATAGAAGAGCCAGGATTGAAAAACTGCCGATGTTCATGTGAACACAGGGATTAAATTTCCCAAACCTTTGAGTCGACTTCCCTACGACTATTTTTTTTTTTTTTAGATGGAGTTTTACTCTTGTTGCCCAGGCTGGAGTGCAGTGGCTTAATCTCGGCTCACTGCAATCTCTGCTTCCCAGGTTCAAGTGATTCTCCTGTGTCAGCCTCCCGAGTAGCTGAGATTACAGGCACCTGCCACCATGCCCGGGTAATTTTTGTATTTTCAGTAGAGATGGGGTTTCATCATGTTAGCCAGGCTGGTCTCAAACTCCCGACCTCAGGTGATCCACCCACCTCTGCCTCCCAAAGTGCTGGGATTACAGGCGCGATCCACTGCACCTGGCCCACTATGATCTTTCTATTCTTCTTTGGCTCCTTTGCTTTTCTTCTCCTGTCCTTTCCTTCATGCTCCTTTCTTTGACTATTTGACTATCTTTACTGTTCTTCTTAGCATTCATTTTTATACATTACACATATATTATTTACATATTATAATATTTACACAAGATACAGTTTTCTCTTCACTTTCTCTCTATCTAAAGTAGAAGCTCCTTATAAGTTGGAACCATGACTTATGCATAATTTATTGACTTTTTAGACAAAACATTATGCTTTGAGTGATGATTGTTTTATTATGGTGTAGAAAAAAAGGGGTCCTATTAAGAGGAAGACAGAGACTTTTATGAGGTCAAACCATTTCTCCTTCCTGCAAGCTCCAAAAGCATCTTTACTTTTTGTTTTCTTTTTATGGAATGCTTCATGAATTTGTGTGTCATCCTTGCCCAGGGGTCATGCTAATCTCTGTATTGTTCCAATTTAAGTAGATGTGCTGCTGAAGCGAGCACCTGAAAGCATTTTGTGCAAATGCAGTCAAGTATAGCAAAAAAAGAGGAGGTGGGTGGGTGGTGCTGGGGTCAGAAGACATGGGTTGAAATTCTAACTCTAAAATTTACTGTTCGTTTGACCTGGGAAAGTTACTATTACATTCTGAGCACCTGTTTTCTCCATGGTAAAATGGGGATGATAATACGGATCTTATAGTGTTATGAGGATTACAAAATGCAATAGAGTGGGCATTTTATATAGAGCTGGGCACGTGGTAACTGTTACAATGACAGGTTTCATCATTAGAATATATTCGATTCTTGTACCTCTCTCACAGAAATCACTTTCTTACTAGACAGTAAATTCTTCAAGGGCAGAGGCTGGCCTTCATTTTATTACCACTCCCCTCCCCTCCAGCTTAATGCTGGTCACATGGTAGCATGCAACAATTTCTTGGAAATGTTGTATGAGAAGGAACCCTAGTGAGGAATCCAGGCTGGAGAACTCTGTTAAAGATTCTTTGAAACTGAATGCAGGGTCTAGGTGTGGTGGCTTATGCCTGTAATCCCAGCACTTTGGGAGGCTGAGGCGGGAGGTTTGCTTGAGCTCAGGAGTTCAAGACCAGAAGTTTGAGACAAAGTGAGACTTCATCTCAACTGAAGAAAAAAAAAAATTAGCTGAATATGACACTAAGGTGGCTCATGCCTGTAGTCCCAGCTGCATGGGAGGCTGAAATGGGAGGATTGCCTGAGCCCAAGAGGTTGAAGCTGCAGTGAGCCATGATCGTGCCACTGAACTCCAGCCTGGGTGACAGGGTGAGAACCTGTCTCAAAAAAAAAAAAAAAAAAAAAAGCTGAATGTACATGGAGTCCAAAAGCTATATTTTGTACCAGGCCCGAGAATAATGTTCTACCTATAGAAAAGTTTGAAAATCCAAGTGACTATATTTTCCTTTCTTTTTTCTTTTCTTTTCTTTTTTTTTTTTTTTTTTTTTTTTTTTTGAGTCAGAGTCTCACTCTGTCGCCTGAACTGGAGCAATCTTGGTTCACTGCAACCTCTGCCTCCTGAGTTCAAGTGATTCTCCTGTCTCAGCTTCCCAAGCAGCTGGGATTACAGGCACGCGCCACCACACTCGGCTAATTTTTGTATTTTTAGTAGAGACAGGGTTTCTCCACATTGGCCAGGCTGGTCTCAAACTCCTGACTTCATGATCCACCCACCTTGGCCTTGAAAAGTGTTGGGATTACAGGTGTGAGCCACTGTGCCCAGCCTCAATATTTTCATCTCTACTATTTCATTTAGCCCATTTAAAAATATGGAGATAATTTAAAAAATAATGTCCTGTTCTTGCCTTGTAGATTCTATTCTTTCTCAAGCTCTATACACATTTCAAACAAAGTTATTAATATTATCATTTAAAGTGATTTGTCCAGGATGATGTAATGCTCTTTTCACTGCACGCCTTTGTATTCTTTTTAAAATTGAGACAGGGTCTTGCTATGTTGTCCAGGCTGAATTTGCACTTCTGGGCTCTAGCAATCCTCCTGCCTCAGCCTCCCAGTAGTTGGGACTACAGCTTCTTGCTACCTCTCCCAGCTCCAAACTTATTTTAAACTCCCTTTCAGATTGTTCTGTTACTCCTAGTTCCTGTACTGTAAATTCTTCCTTTCTGTGTATTTAATGCATCCCTCTCAGGAGGGATGTTGGTTACCTCTTGTGTTAAGATTTTTAATGGTGAGCTCATTGTCAAAGGGAATTGTTTGAAAGGGTCCAACTGCTCTGGACTGTGGCAATATCAAGTGGGATGTTTCTCATTGGCCTCTGCTGTGATCCTCCAGGGCTAAACACACTAAGAGTAGTTCTGCTGTTAACAATAAGGCCTAGACACTGTAGTATTTTCACATAGTATAGTACTCTGGATGTAAAAGCTCAAAAATTGTGATTCCTTGAACGTTCACTACATCTTCAAGCAAAAACACATTTTTACATTATTTTTACGTTGATTATTTTAGTGAAAGACCATATGAAGAAGCATTTTTAATATTAACGTTACGTACTTTGATCCACTTTACATCATTTTTATGTTGTTGAGGTAGGGAAATTAGGGTTCAGTTTATCACTGGACATTCAGGAGGCAAGTCAATCTTTTTTATTTCCTTATAAAATTAACTCTTCAAAAACTGTTAAACAGAGAGTTATCTTAATTTTTATTGCAGTAGGAGGAAATATATTTAAAATATTTGTAGATTTATAGCAAATAGAGACTCGTTATTTAAAGGTTAAATAACAGTTTGTTCTTTTGTTGTTTTTGCCAGTTTAGGGCAGTAGCTGCTTTTGTCATAAATATCTTCCTACCACATCAAAAATGCTGCTTTTAAAATTTTTGTTTATAAATTGAGAAGGAATTTTCTCTCTATAAGTTTCTGTCGTTGAACACATCACCATCAAAAAGAATATTAGAATCCAGCATGAAGATAATGTCTAATAAAAATGAGGTACATACTTTATAAAACCATTAATCAGATTTGAATGAGGAATGCTTTCCACATCCTTGAAAGAAAAACTGTGGCTTACGTTTTGAAGTATTCTGAGAATGAAATGTATTTTTTTTTTTAATTTATTTTTTTTTGAGACGGAGTCTCACTCTGTCGCCCAGGCTGGAGTGCGGTGGCGCGATCTCGGCTCACTGCAAGCTCCGCCTCCCGGGTTCACGCCATTCTCCTGCCTCAGCCTCCCGAGTAGCTGGGACTACAGGCGCCCGCCACCGCGCCCGGCTAATTTTTTGTATTTTTAGTAGAGATGGGGTTTCACCGCGTTAGCCAGGATGGTCTCGATCTCCTGACCTCGTGATCCGCCCGCCCCGGCCTCCCAAAGTGCTGGGATTACAGGCGTGAGTCACCGCGCCCAGCCTAGAATGAAATATTAAGATCCAATTTCTATAAGCAAGATCAGACTTATTAAGTATGCTGCAAGTAAGAGCTAATTCATTCATTCTATGTGTGCCACTAAATAAAGAGATTGAGCAAGTGAAAAAAAACAAAACAAACAAACAAAAAACACAATAAGGTCTAGAGCATAGGCCATAGAGAAAGTCCTATAGATCGCTTCTTCCAGGCCTTCCTTGTGTAGTCAGACAACCAGCATGTGGTTACAAGCATGTCCCATACTTTCTAAGATGCTGACAGGGGCTTTGTTAAATTCCCCTTCTTATTCTCCCAAAACTGTCCCTCTGATGTGGGGAACTAGATGATCCAAACAGGTTAGTTATTAGGAACCATGCTGCTTATTATTCAGGACCAAGCTTTCTTAAAAGTGTTTCCTGAATTGATTGGGTGGTGATTTTTTCCCCAAGAATGAAAGTGAAGCTCATGGGTACATATATTTCTAGGGTGTTATTTCTAGCTTAAAGAAACTTTCAGGCTGGGCACAGTGGCTCATGCCTGTAATCCCAGCACTTTGGGAGGCCAAGGCAGGTGGATCACTTGAGGTCAGGAGTTCAAGACCAGACTGGCCAACATGGTGAAACCCTGTCTCTACTAAAAGTACAAAAATTAGCCGGGCATGGTGGCGTGTGTCTATAGTCGCAGCTACTTGGGAGGCTGAGGCAGGAGAATCGCTTGAACCCAGGAGGCAGAGGTTGCAGTGAGCTGAGATCGCGCCATATCACTCCAGCCTGGGTGACAAGCGCAAAACTCTGTCTCCAAAAAAAAAAAACTTTCATGGTTTTTATTACACAAAAGTAATAAATATATTTAGTGTTAGGCAGCTCCTCAGGCTTTGTGGAATTCCTGGAAGATGATAGCGAGTCCTTTGATGGCACTAGCTGATTCTCATCAGACTTTGATCCAAGAGATTGGAGATATTGGCGATTCAAGGAAGGATAGGACACATTTTTTTTTTTCACCAAGGAGTTCGTAATCCAGTACAGATACACACACCCAAGGTAATGACAAGGGTACAGTAGAACAAAGTGCTGTCTTGAAGGTAAGCTGAAAGATCTATGGGAATAAACATGCAAGAGTAATTAATTCTGCCAAGTGGAAGAGAAAAAAGGAAAACTAGAGAAAGAAGACAACTTTCTGGGTGTTCTTGGAATGAAGGTTTTACCAGGAAGATGAGGGGCTGGAGGGCACTTGTGGCAGAAGAAATAGTTTGAACAATGACAAGTGTGACAACCACAATGCTTGGATGCAAGAAAAACATACATCTGTGTTGTTTTTTTCTAAACTAAATGAAAAATGGCCAGGGTCCCTACTCATCTCTTGTTAGGAAATGCAGTGTGTCATTTTTTGGGGTGGGGACAAAAGGGGCTAATGTAGGCAGTCTAAAAAGTTTGAGAATGGGCCTCTTGTCTTTGGGGCATCATAGTTGCCCTGAGATGTTCACTGTTTCTTGGGCTCCATAGGAAGGGTGTTTACAGTGCTTACTGTTCTTGGGTGCTCCTCTTTGAAGGGAGTAGAGGTTTTCATAGAGGTTTGCAGATATCCTTGGAGCTGGGCTGGGATCATGTGGTTCTTTTTTTTTGATACCGAGTCTCGCTCTGTTGTACAGGCTGGAGTGCAATGGCGTGATCTTGGCTCACTGCAACCTCCGCCTCCTGGATTCAAATGATTCCCCCGCCTCAGCCTCCTGAGTCACTGGGATTACGTGCCACCACGTCTGGCTAATTTTTGTAGTTTTAGTAAAGATGGGGTTTCACCATGTTGGCCAGGCTGGTCTTGAACTCCTGGCCTCAGGTGATCCTCCCACCTCGGCCTCCCAAAGTGCTGGGATTACAGGCATGAGCCACTGGACCAGGGCTGGTATCATGTGGTTCTGTACACAGAGTTTTACTTAATGCCTCTACTTTGCTTTCAGCACCTGAGCTCTGCCCTACACAGTGCCTACTGCCCAACGATTAGGCATCTCAAGCTTGGTTCAGTGGCTCCAGAGAATAAACCTCCTACCTCTTGTGAAGGTGGGGAGGGGTAGACCCTTGACTGCAGAGGGGAGAGTTGGGGTCTGGAGTCCAAATGCTCTTTGTATAGACTTTCAGTGAAGCCCTCTCTTTTCAGCAACACCCTCTCTGTCACCATCTTCAGTATCTGATGCTTCTAGTTCTTGAGCCTGAGGGCCAACATACTAGCTTCTAGTCTAGGCTCTTAGGTTTCACTTCGTGCTCTGGGCCACGCTAGTTACTGCTTCTCCACGAGTGTTGGGTCTTTGCATTTTACTGTTTCGGGCTACAGATGTCTATCGGTTTCACTGGTGAGGAAGTTTTTATTGCTTCTTGCTCTTCTTGTTGGCTTTGGATGATATCTGAGGAAAGGATTAGTCTACCAGCTTTGAAACATGCTTTCTTCAAGTTAAAATGGTCTTTCCCTTATTTGCTCACTTTCAGACACTTCCCAGTTTATGATAATTTTTTTCTCCTCTTAGGCCATTAGACTTTCATTTACTTTTCCTTGTATAAAAGATGAAAATCCACCTTAATTTAAAACATTTTATTTTTATTAGAGTTATTAATGCTTATAGTTTAAAGAGTTAAATAATCCTACAAGAAGTAAGAAAACCAGTTCTCACCTGCCTGCCTCTCTTCTCCATTTTTAGGCTCTTTAGAAGCATCCTCTTTCAAACTTTTAGTTGTTACTTTTGAGAATTATAGCCACGTCACTGAGCAACTGCTTATTACTTATAGTGCTATATCAAGAGCTTTCAGTTAAGATATTGTCTACTTACTTCCTGATATGGAAGATGAGAATTTAGCTCTTTAGTAATATTCTCTTTTTCTCTTTTTATGATTTTTTTTTTTTGTACAGTTGGGGTCTCACTATATTGCCCAGGCAGGAGTACAGTGGCACAATCTCGGCTCACTGCAAGCTCCACCTACTGGGTTCAAGCGAGTCTCCTGCCTCAGCCTCCTGAGTAGCTGGGATTATAGGCATGCACCACCATGCCCGGTTAATTTTGTATTTTTAGCAGAGACAGGGTTTCGCTATGTTGGTCAGTCTGGTCTTGAACTCGTGACCTCAAGTGATCCACCTGCCTCAGCCTCCCAAAGTGTTGGGATTACAGGTGTGAGCCACCGTGCCCAGCCCCTAATTTGTTCTTTAATTTCTGCTTCTGACTGTTGTCCCTAGTGTCCTTGAAAATATGTTTAACAATACACAATTTGTGGGACTGTGTTTCCCAGTTGAGATTAACTTGCTTGCCTCTCCAACGTTGAGTAATTGAGGCTCATAAATTTTGATGTATGGTCCTATAGTCTCTGTATGCAAATGAGAAAAACATCACTATTTTATTGACCATATTCCAATATTTCCTGTGGTGTGGGGCTCATAAGCACGATTATTCTTTCTCCATGTATGGGGAGTAACTCTAAAGGCGTAATTCCATTACTATGAGGTAACTCCTTGTCTTAGAACTGATTTATTTGCAGCTGAAGAATAGAACTAATTTTATATTACTTTATGAGATGCTTACTTAGTTATTCTCTCCCCTACCTTCTTCCAGATAAGTGTACAGGTACCAGGAATATCACAAAAAGATATTCTGTGATAACCTAGACTTATTTTTGCACTTTTCTTTTTCTCACTAAACTTACTAACAGAAAGCTGAGACTAGATATTTAATAGAATTAATGTCTGGAATATTGGGGTAATTAAAATACAGTAGGGATGATCACTCCAAGATTCCTTGGTTCTGTGAATAACATGCATGTCTGAGAGCGCATCTCTGAGTGAGTGTGTTTTTCCCTTGCGGAACCTGATTTATGAGGAAGTATAGTGGCTAAGAACACAGCCACATAAATTTGAGTTCAGTCCACTTACTAATGGGATTGACTTGCATAAGGTACTTAATCTTTATAAGCTCCTGTTTTCTCACCTGTAGAGGGGGGAAAGTAATACCTGCCCTACAGGTAACTGTAAAGATTAAATGTGATAACATACGTAAAGCACTTAGGATGGTGACTGGGCCTGACATACACTTACCATTTGTGGTTGTTTTGGGATATATATATATATATATATTTTTTTAGATATATATTTATATATATTTTAGATATATATATAGTTTAGATATATATATTTTAGATATATAGTTTAGATATATATTTATATATATTTTAGATATACATAAAAAATATATATTATATATATTAAAAATATATATATTAAATATATTAAAAAATATATAATATATATATTAAAAATATATATATTAAATATATTTAAAAATATATAATATATATATTAAAAATATATATAATATATATTAAAAATATATAATATATATAATATATATTAAATATATATTTAATATATATTATATATATTAAATATATATTTAATATATATATCTTTAATATATATAATATATATTTAATATATATTAAAATATATATATATATTAAAAATAATTTTTTTTCCAAGATGGAGTCTTGCTCTGTCGTCCAGGCTGGAGTGCAGTGGCATGATCTCGGCTCACTGCAGCCTCCACCTCCCGAGCAGCTGGAATTACAGGCACCCACCACTACACCCGGCTAATTTTTTATTTTTAGCAGAGACAGGATTTCACCATGTTGGCCAGGCTGGTCTTGAACTCCTGACCTCAAGTGATCCACCCACCTCAGTCTCCCAAAGTGCTGGGATTACGGGCATCAGCCACTGCACTCAACCTGTTTTGGGATATTAACCATACCTCTCTTCCTCTCTTTCAAAATAGAGATTCTAACGTCATCTGCAATTCCAAAAGTTCAATTATTTCCTAGTTATTTGTGTTAGACAACAGAAGATCTTTGAGTCACACCTGTAGTGATATATTTGGCAGCCCGTAAGAGGTTATTTTATGAGATAGACGTTAAGAAGTCTCCTAAAAGATGCAATTTTCCCCAGAATCTCCCGATCCTTAAAAAAATCAAATTGTTGGCTGGGCGCTGTGGCTCACGCCTGTAATCTCAGCACTTTGGGAGGCCAAGGCGGGCGGATCATGAGGTCAGGAGATCGAGACCATCTCAGCAAACACGGTGAAACCCCGTCTCTACTAAAAATACAAAAAAATTAGCCGGGCTTGGTGGCGGGCGCCTGTAGTCCCAGCTACTTGGGAGGCTGAGGCAGGAGAATGGCATGAACCCGGGGTTGGGGGGCGGGGGGAGGGCGGAGCTTGCAGTGAGCCGAGATCACGCCACTGCACTCTAGCCTGGGTGAGAGCGAGACTCCGTCTCAAAAAAAAAAAAAAAAAAAAATTGTTAAAAAAAATTCTAGTTATTCTTTATGAAACTCATTAAGACTAGACGTAAGGGTTTTTTAAAATAAAAAAATGTTAGTGCAGTGTGCCAAACATATATATATATATATATATATATATATATATATATATGTTTTTTTTTTTTTTTAAAGACAGGGTCTCATTCTGTAACCCAGGCTGGAGTACAGCAGTACCATCTAACTGCAGCCTCGACCTGCCAGGCTTCATTGATCCTCTCACTTCAGTCTCCTGAGTAGCTGCGATTACAATCATGTGCCACCATGCCCGGTGGCAAAAAATACAAAAAAGTATTTGTAGAGATGGGGTTTCGTGATGTTCCCCAGGGTGGTCTTGAACTCCTGTGCTCAAGCGATCCACCGGCCTTGGCCCCCCAAAGTGCTGGGATTATAGGCATGAGCCACCAGGCCCAGCTGCCAAACCAATTTTGAAGGGTTTTGGGTTATGCTGTAGCTCTTCAGATCTCCTTTGGTATTCAAATGGTCTTCTGATGTATTTACTTTTATTGAAACACCGCATGATAAAACATTAAACAGGTGCTGGAATAGATATAAATATACAAGCTGACTTTTTTACTTCTTCAACAGAGAAAAGTGATTGATGTAATTAGATTACTTTGTTTCTACTTTCAATCTCTCTTTTTTCTTTTCCTTCTTTTTATTGTATTTTATTTTTATTTATTTATTTATTTTTTTTGAGACTTAGTTTCACTCCTGTTTCCAGGCTGGAGTGCAATGACGTGATCTCGGCTCATTGCAGTTCAAGCAATTCACCTGCCTCCTGAGTTCAAGCGATTTGCCTGCCTCAGCCTCCCAAGTAGCTGGGATTACAGGCATATACCACTACGCCCGGCTAATTCTGTACTTTTAGTAGAGACAGGGTTTCACTGTGTTGGTCAGGCTAGTCTCGAACTCCTGACCTCAGGTGATCTGCCCGCCTCGGCCTCCCAAAGTGCTAGGATTACAGGTGTGAGCCATCGCACCCAGCCTCTTTTTTCTTTTATATTCTCTCTCTCTCCCCACTGCCCCACCCCCTGAGGTGGTGACAAGGTGGAAGACCTTAAATGGCCAAATTAGACAAGATGGAAATACCGTCCTGGCTTAGTTCGCTGTAACTTCCCTATATGACTCCACTGTGCAGCCAGGACCTAGAAATACCTGTCCTGTTACTAACCTATCATTTAAATGGTTTAGTGTGATTTAATCATTCATTCTCTCCCAACAGCTTAACATGCAGTCACTATCGTGGTTTCTTATCAATATGGGACACCAATGAATGCTTTTGAATTCCCAGTGTTTTGGGAAACTCTTGGCATTGCGTCCAGCTGCCTGAGGATTGACTCTACGGTCTGCATTCTTTTTTTTTTTTTTTTTTTTTTTTTTTTTTTTTTTTTTTTTGAGACAGAGTCTCACTCTGTCACCCAGGCTGGAGTGCAGTGGCGCGATCTTGGCTCACCGCAAGCTCCACCTCCCGAGTTCACGCCATTCTCCTGCCTCAGCCTCCCGCATAGCTGGGACTACAGGCGCCTGCCACGAGGCCTGGCTAATTTTTTGTATTTTCAGTAGAGACAGGGGTTTCACCATGTTGGCCAGGATGGTCTTGATCTCCTGACGTCGTGATCCGCCCACCTCGGCCTTCCAAAGTGCTGGGATTACAGGCTTGAGCCACTGTGCCCGGCCTTTGGTCTGCATTCTTTTCACACACCTCCTACGGGCAGGAGTTGGAGTTGATCTAGCCTAAATCCAACTTGCAAGGCACATTTTTCACTGTAAGTTTTGGTTCTGCGAACCTTGAGCTGTAGTGAATCTAATCATCCAGGCAGGGAATGAGATGCAGGGAAGACAATATAGTCTTTAGAGCAGCCCTTGGATCTCCCTGGAAGGCACAATTCAAGAGTAAAAATCCCCTCTGCCCTGTCAAAGTCTTCCTGGGAAAGACTAGACAAGCCAAGAGGAACCATGGTTGTGGGAAAGATGACAGCCTGAGATTTGGTGATTTTGTCATGAGCCTGCCATGTCGAATTTGCTCCATGACACTCGTTTTTGGATCAATCTGGGACAAATTGTATAATTTCCTGAAAGCTTAAAATTAGAAGCAAAAGGCCGAGAATATAAATTTCTACTTTTTATCTTGATTGACAGAGGAGCAAACACTGGTGTTTATTATTATATATGTTTACAGCTAAAAATAAAACTGCTTCAGATATACTAAAAATTTTGTTTAGAAAAAGCCACTTTTCACTTTTTTCCAAAGTTGGATCATTACACTGTTCTCTCTGCCTAATTCTATTGTTTTTCTGGAATGTTGTCTATATAGAAGTGGCTTCTTACATTTTTTATCACAATTCACATGATTCAACATATTACCCGTATCTCTAGATCTCTCTGATCCTTTAAACCCTTTCTACTGATTATCAATGAAAGTCCTCAAGGGTTTGAGGTCCTGGCTGTTTTCCTTTCAAGTATATTCAGAATCAGCAGCTTCTTGAATTTCAGAATATAATTTTAGGGCTGCAAGAGCAATTCAGCACCCAAGTTTTGAAATGTGATGCCAACTTCTAGTCATTGTCCGTCCTTTCTCCTTTTCTTCCTTGCCCCTGTATTCCCGCTGTCTGAACTCTCCCATGACATCAAAAGTAGCCCTGCTTTGAGGGGACAAAAACTGTACTCATGGGACATTCCATTTTAGTATTTCAAATTTAAATTTATTAGGACCATATTTCATTTTCTATTTTTCCTAGAGCCCAGCCCATTATTGAATTACAACAAATGGAAAAAAATGCTGAGAATAAACTAGTTAAATGTTATACTAAGAAATGCACAGAGAAGGTTGAAAAATTGTTATGATTGTGGCCTCTGCTTTGTCTAAAGTTATTTTATTGTTATAACAAAGTATTGCTTAGTTTTACTCTTTTTTTAAAACACAGAATTTATGTTATATGGAGTACAATCAATCAAAAACCCCAATAATTGACTACATTTAGGAATTAATGTTACTTTTTACTTTTATGTAAAAAAAGCATTTCTTAGGTTCATACTTTAAAAAGACAAACAGATTTAGATAAATATATTCTGGCTAGGCCGGGCGCGGTGGCTCACGCCTGTAATCCCAGCACTTTGGGAGGCCGGGGCGGGCGGATCACGAGGTCAGGAGATCGAGACCATCCCGGCTAAAACGGTGAAACCCCGTCTCTACTAAAAATACAAAAAAATTAGCCGGGCGTAGTGGCGGGCGCCTGTAGTCCCAGCTACTTGGGAGGCTGAGGCAGGAGAATGGCGTGAACCCGGGAGGCGGAGCTTGCAGTGAGCCGAGATCCCGCCACTGCACTCCAGCCTGGGCGACAGAGCGAGACTCCGTCTCAAAAAAAAAAAAAAAAAATATATATATATATATTCTGGCTAAACATATGGATAAATATTAGAAATAGAATAAATAAAAAATGTTCACTTTATGTCTTTTTTTTTTTTTTTGAGACAGGGTCTTGCTCTGTCACTCAGGCTGGAGTGCAGTGGCATGATCATGGCTCACTGCAGCCTCGACCTCCAGGCTCAAGCAATCCTCCCACCTCAGCCTCCCTATTGGGTGGGACCACAGGCTTGTGCTGCCGTGCCTAATTTGTCTTTTTTTCTTTTCTTTTTATTTTTTATGTTTATTTTTTTTTGAGACAGAGTTTCAGTCTTGTCACCCAGGCTGGAGTGCAATGGTGCAATCTCAGCTCACTGCAACCTCTGGCTCACTGCAACTTCCACCTCCCGGGTTCAAGTGATTCTCCTGCCTCAGCCTCCCAAGTAGCTGGAATTACAGGCGCCTGCCACCATGCCTAGCTAATTTTTATATTTTTAGTAGAGACGGGGCTTCACCATGTTGGCCAGGCTGGTCTCAGACTCCTGACCTCAAGTGATCTGCCCATCTCAGCCTCCCAAAGTGCTGGGATTACAGGCGTGAGCCACCACAACTGGCTTCTCGGAGGGTGTGTGCGAGTGACAATTGAGCCCATCTCTATTTTTTAACGTCCCTTCCCTGCGTGTTATTGTGGCAGGTGCTGGGAATATGGAGAATTGCGTTCTTGTCCCAGTCATGTATCCAACAATTTATGTGACTCTGTGGTCAGGAGACTACTTTGTAGTCCACGTATTTTCCATCTCTTAAATAGGGGTAAATTCCTTGTCCATCTGTCTCTTCCAGGGTCACTTCTTCATGCTAATCTTTGGAAGTATTACAAAGAAAGTATCTTAAGCATGAATTTCAGCCCATGTTTTTGTGTTCCTGTTCTTGGACCATTGGTTGGTTTCTTTGGAGACAGCTTCTGACTGTTATGCCAATTGTTACAAAGTCATGGATATCAAATTACAACCTATAGTTAATATTCAGCATTATTAGAATATTTTAAAGCAAAATTCACCAAATACAGAGCTTGTGGAGAGAATATGTGACATTGTCTTTCTTCCTGTAGTTCTTCAACAAAATCTGGTTTTATGGGGGTAAGATGTAATTTATAGCCAATGATGGTTTTCTGTACTGCAGTTAACAGCTATCAGAAGAAAAATTCTCTAGTTTTAAAGAACTTAAATTTGAATGATGATGATAAGTGAATAAATATAAGAAATATACTTCTAAAGTAATAAAGAAATTTATATAAATACCATCCAGTTTGTAATAGCAGCAGTGGAAAAAAATCACAGAACCATTTTATTAAGAATTTGGATAGACTGAATGGTATTATTATGTGAATTTTATTTTATTATTATTATTATTATTATTTTTGAGACTCACTCTGTCACCCAGGCTAGAATGCAATGACACGATCTCAGCTTACTGCAACCTCCATCTCCTGGGTTCAAGGGATTCTTCCTGCCTCAGCCTCCTAAGTAGCTGAGATTACAGGCACCCGCCACCAAGCCAGGCTAATTTTGTATATTTAGTAGAGATGGGGTTTCACCAGGCTGGTCTCAAACGCCTGACCTCGGGTGATCTGCCTGCCTTGGCTTCCCAAAATGCTGGGATTACAGATGTAAGCCACCATGCCTGGCCTATTATGTGAATTTTATATTTAAAAAAATTGAGTTTGCTTCTGTTTGATCTTATGGAACATGTCAATTTTATATTTTCCTTTAAATATGATGCTGTAGCTGGGTGTGGTGGTGCATGCCTGTAATTCAGCCACTCCAGAGGCTGAAGTGGGAGGATCACCTGAGCCCAGGAGTTTGAGGCTGCAGTGAGCTATAATAGTGTCACTGCACTTCAGTCTGAGTGACAGTGAGACCCCGTCTCTAAAAAAACACAAACAACAAGACAAAACCAAAAAATGATGCTGTAGTGACATTAGACAGTGATTTTTAAAATATCTTACTGAACCCTGTGTATGTAGGTGTAAAGAATTTACTGGGGGTAATCCCAGAACTTTGGGAGGCCGAGGTGGGCAGATCACTTGAGCTCAGGAGTCTGAGACCAGCTTGGGCAACATGGCGAAACTCTGTCTCTACAAAAAATACAAAAACTAGCCAGGCATGGTGGCATGTGCCTGTAGTCTCTGCTACTCAGGAGGCTGAGGTGGGAGAATCGCTTGAGCCCAGGAGTCGGAGGTTGCAGTGAGCCGAGATCATGCCACTGCACTCCAGCCTGGGCAACAAAGCAAGGCTCTGTCTTAAAAAAAAAAAAATAAATAAATAAAAAAAATATATATATATATGGAGAAATGTTTAAAATGATTTAAAAAAACTTTTCAATTTAGTTTCTAATAGGAAAACCTAAAATTCAACTTGTTTATTTCTTTGTAGAAGTAACTCTAAAAATTGAAAATTAAAGCTATCTGGTATTGAGACAGGAGACTTGATTTTTCTTAGATAATATTTGTCAATTTCTAAAATTTAGAAGCTCCTAGAGGATAGAGGTCTTATTGATTCTGTTTACTTTATATGACCAGCTCTGTTTGTGGTATATACTCAATATATGTTTGACTATTATTATTATTTTATAAATAATATAATATAATAGTAGTATTTATTATTATTATCACAATATTCATGACTCATGGGAGGAGGTAAAAACATCAACATTAACAGAAGTTCAGAAGAAATCAATCCTGATCCTCCTGAATGACTTTGGAGATTAAAGTTTTCAGTGGAGGAGGGAACTGCAGATGTGATGGAAATAGCAAAAGAACTGGAATTAGAAGTGGAGCCTGAAAATCTGACTGAATTGCTGAAATCTCATGATAAAACTTGAATGGATAAGGAATTTCTTCTTATGGATGAGCAAAGAAAGTGGTTTCTTGAGATGAAATCTGCTCCTGGTGAATATGCTGTGAACATTCTTGAAATGACAACAAACGATTTAGAATATTACATAACCTTAGTCGATAAAGCAGCCAGAAGGGTTTGAGAGGATAGACTGCAACTTGGAAAGAAGTTGTTCTGTGGTTAATGCTATGAAACAGGATTGCATGCTACAGAGAAATCTTTCATGAAAGGAACAGTCAATTGGTGCAGCAAACTTCATATGTGTCTTATTTTAATAAATTGCCACAGCCACCCCAACCTTAAGCAACCAGCACCCTGATCATTAAGCATTAAGGCAAGACCCTCCACCAGGAAAAATATTGTAACTTGTGAAGATTAGATAATCATCAGCATTTCTTAGCAATAAAGTATTTTTAAATTAAGGTATGTATGTTGTTTTTTATAGACGTAATGCTATTGCACACTTAATAGACTACGGTATAATGGAAACATAACTTTTATATGCACTGGGAAACCAAAAAGTTTCTGTGACTTGCTTTATTGCAATATTTGTTTTATTGCAGTGATCTGGAACTAAACCTACAATATCTCTGAAGTATGCCTGCATATGCTTTTAAAAGATATGTTAGATTTAAAATAATCACTATATGTTCATTGCATATAAATAGAAGGTTTCTTGACAATATATTTATAAAGTAGCTGTATGTTTATACAAAAGGTGCACAAATGCTTATCTGAGCATCGGGTCCTCAGTGTCTTACTTCTTAGGTGTTTGATGGTTTTGATGGTTTTTGTTGATTGAAACCACCTATTTGAGCCCTTTTTAAAAATTATTTATTTATTTATTTATTTGTTGATACAGCATCTCCTTACTCTGTGACCCAGGCTGGAGTGCAGTGGTGTGATCATAGCTCACTGTAACCTTGAACTCTTGGGCTCAAACGATCTTCCTACCTCAGTCTCCTGAGTAGCTGGGACTACCAGCATTTTCCACCATGCCTGGCTTATTTTTAATTTTTAATTTTTTTTTTTTTTGAGATGGAGTTTCACGCTTGTTACCAAGGCTGGAGTGCAATGGCATGATCTTGACTCACTGCAACCTCCACCTCCCGGGTTCAAGCGATTCTCCTGCTTCAGCCTCCCAAGTAGCTGGGATTACAGGCATGTGCCACCATGCCCGGCTAATTTTGTATTTTTAGTAGAGACAGGGTTTTACCATGTTGACCAGGCTGGTCTGGAACTCCCGACCTCAGGTGATCCACCCACCTCAGCCTCCCAAAGTGATGGGATTACAGGCATGAGTCACTATGCCTAGCCAATTTTTAAAATTTTTTTTAGAGATGGGGCCTCTCTTTGTCGCCCAGGCTGGTCTTGAATGCCTGGCCTCAAGCAGTCCTCCTACCTCAGCCTCCCAAAGTGTTGGGATTACAGGCATTAGCCACAATGTGCAGCCTATTTGGACAATGTTTGATTCAGAAATCACAGATCCAGATATAGTGGAGCACCTGTAATCCCAGCTACTTGTGAAGCAGAGATGGGAGGACTGCTTCAGCCTAGTAGTTCCAGACCAGCCTGGGTAACACAGTGAGACCCTGTTCCCCCCGCTCCACCACCCCCCACCAAAAAAAAAAAAAAACAAACCCACAGAAAGTCCTACTCACATTTTGACTTACTCTTACTTCCTGCGTGAATGACCAAGTTATAGGAGAATGCAGCTGAATCATTTGACCTACTGATGAGATAGATTCATTTCAGGACCAGGTTGAGGCTCTTGGTCCCCCAGCCAGCCTCACATTATATATTTCACAAATGCCAAAGTGCTCAGATAAGACTCTTTTCTTGTTCTTTGAGATGGAGTCTTGCTCTGTCACCCAGGCTGGAGTGCAATGGCGTGATCTCGGCTCACTGCGACCTCTGCCTCCTGGGTTCAAGCGATTCTCCTGCCTCAGCCTCCCAAGTAACTGGGATTACAGGCATGAGCCACCGTGCCTGGCTAATTTTTGTATTTTTAGTAGAGACAGGGTTTCACCATGTTGGCCAGGCTGGTCTCGAACTCCTGACCTCGTGACCAGCCTGCCTCGGCTTCCCAAAGTGGTGGGATTACAGGGTGAGCCACCGCGCCCCGCCTTGAATAAGACTTTATGAAACAGCAACCAGTTTCATTTGAGCGGCCTTACCATTTGAAAATAAATGATGCCATATTTAACCAGATGGTGAGTATGGAATTACTTTATATAAACTCAACTTGATGCCAATAGTTTTACATATATCGAACAAGTAATTAATTTAAAAATGTTCCGAAAAATACCATACAAAACTGTACCTTTTTGGCATTAGTAACATAAAATAAAGACATTAAAAATTATCAATTTTGTAGTCTTTACTTTTTTACTGTTAAAGAAGAATGTGGCTGGGCATGGTGGTTCATACCTGTAATCCCAGCACTTTGGGAGACTGAGGCGGGCAGATCACTTGAGGGGAGGAGTTCGAGACCAGCCTGGCTAACCTGATGAAACCCCATCTCTACCAAAATTATAAAATACTAGCTGGGTGTGGTGGCATGTGCCTGTAATCCCAGCTACTTGGGAGGCTAAGGCAGGAGAATCACTTGAACTCTGGAAAAAAAAAAGAAACTCCCAAATTGCTTGAACCTGGGGGGCAGATGATCGAGTGAGCGGAGATCATGCCACTGCACTCCAGCCTGGGCAACAGAGCAAGACTCAGCCTCAAAAAAAAAAAAAAGAAAAGGAATGTGATCCTGGTTGGTACAACTTTAGTTTCTGCTTTCCAACTGCTTCAGTTTTCTTCATGCAATTATTTTTCATTTTTCATGTAAAAAATAACTAAAAATACTTTTTGTAAAAATTTAACTTACAAAAAATATATGACACCTATGGAATTGCCTCCTAAAATTCACTCTCTGCCCTGTACCTCAAATGCTACTTTCCTCACCAGAAGTAACCACTGATAATACTTTGTTCTACATTCCTGATCTATTTTCTATTTTCTCTCTGTGTAAGTACAAACAATTCTATCTTTTGAATTTCATATATGGGATTATATCACACATATTTTTTCTATAACTTAATGCTTTCACTTGTTTTTTTCCATAACAGTGTACAGAAATCCAGCTAATCCCTTTTTTTTTTTTTGAGACAGGGTCTCTCACTATTTGTTGCCCAGACTGGAGTGCAGTGGCATGACCTTGGCTCACTGCAGCCTCAACCTTCCAAGCTCGGGCAATCCTCCTGCCTTAGCCTCGCAAGTAGCTGGGACTACAGGCATGCACCACTACACTCATGTATTTTTTGTAGACATGGGGTCTTTCTTTGTTGCCCAGGCTGCTGCTCATTCATTTTAAATGCTGCAAATTAAGTAATCAATAAAATACTATCTACTGCACTTTTTTTTGGTTTTATCATATCTCTATTAATAAATCATTTAGAAACTCCTCCAAGATTTCAGCTACAAAATATGTTATCATGAACTTTCTTATACATGCTTCTTCAATTGCTTTCTTTTCTTCTAGTGAATTGCCTTAGGAGACTCGTTCTTCGTATTTGGGGTCTTGGGTATTGACTGCAAAGATTGAAATATGAAATGTGGAGGTGCTACTTTTGACTTTTCCAAAGTTTTCCAGCTGAATCTAGGGTGAGAAGTAAACTTTTCTCTTCTCTGAGATTCCCCATGAACTTGAGGGGAAGGAGAGAATATGGTAATGGCAAGAAACTTGGAGATCCACGTGTTGACTAGCTCTCATTTCCCAAATAAACAAACAAAAATCTTGCTTGACATGATATTCCTTTATAGCTATGGTTTCTTCCTTTTCTTCACATTGCAGTCAAGCTTTGCTAAAGAGAAATTGCTAAGTGCTCACTTCCCATTCAGTTCTCCACCCGCTGCTATGTGGGCCCTACCCCACCACAGCCTCCACTTCTGAAACTGCTCCTTCAAGGCCTTCTGCTTACTACATTCTTTGGATGCATTTCAGGCCCTTCATCACCTGGCCTCTAGGCACCGCTCAACACTCTTGATCACTTCCTGCAGGAGCTCTCACCTCCTTTGGTTTCAGTGACACTACTGTATCAGTTAGCTCTGGTTTGGACGAAAGTAACAGAAAACTCGACCCAAATTGGTTTAAGCAATAAGGAACTTCATAGATTCATGTAAATAGAAATCTAGAGGTAGAGCAAGCATCAGGCTTGGCTCCAGCTCCAGATGTCTGGGATTCTCCAGTTTTGGCTTTCTTCCTTCGTATGGCTTTCTTCTCTGATTGGCAGGGAGAGAGAGCTGCAGCAAGTCTAGGCTTCGTATTTATCTAGGATGACATCTGAAGAAGGAAAAGTATAATTGCTAAGAGTTCTTCCAACAAAGTAATGAAGAATTTGTCTGAATCCCCGTCAAACTTTTCTTGAATCTCATGAGGTCACCAGCTCCTTGCAGTCACCAGCAAAGGGGGTGGGATTATTTTTAGACAAATCAGGTCACCTCTTGGAACTAGAGACATTCAACTTCCTTAGAGGCCCATGGACTTCATGTGGGTAGGAATTATGTGAAGGAGTGCAGGGAATTGACACTTGTTAGGAAACCAACAGTGTCCACCACAGCATTCTTCTGATTTTTTTTTTTTCCATCTCTGGTTGCTCTTCTTGGTCCCCTACTAACTTCCTCTTCCTCTGCTTAGCCCTTCCGTGTGGATGGGCCCCCGAGTACCACTCTTGCTTTCTTCTCTTCCCGTTGTTCATGTTATTCCTGGGACAGTTTATTCACTCTCAAGGCTGTGTATGCCGATGACTCCCAAATATATAACCCCAGTCCATAGAGTTTTTCTAAACAGTAGACTCTTTTAGCCAATCACATATTGAACATCTCCACTGGATTATCCCATATGCATCTCAAACTCATCATGTCCCAAACTAAATTCATCAATATGGCCTGAAGACCAGCAGCACATCCTTCTATATTCCCAATCTCAGTGGATGGCATCATCAAACACGATTCCCTAGGTCATTGTAGACCTCTTTTCTTCCCTGACATGGAAGCAGTCACAAAACCATGTGGATCTAGCCACTGCAATTTAGCTTAAGGCTACAGTCCATGAGAAATGTTTTCTGTATTATGCTCTCCCCCCAATTCAGGATGTGTTATGTGACGTTATGATACTTCATATATATCTCTATAACAGCACTTCTTTTTTATGTTTTTTTATTTGTTTTGTAGAGATGGGGTTTTGCCATGTTTCTCAGGCTGTTCTCAAACTTCTGGGCTGAAAGAGATCTGCTCGCCTCTGCCTCCCAAAGTGCTGGGATTACAGGCATGAGCCACCACACCGGGCCTATAAGAGCACTACTATTGTTCACTATTTTCTTGATTGTAGGAATTTCATCTTACTATTTTTTTTTAATTCCTTTTCTGTCTGGGCGCGGTGGCTCACGCCTGTAATCCCAGCACTTTGGGAGGCTGAGGCGGGCAGATCACTTGAGGTCTGGAGTTTGAGATCAGTCTGGTCAACATGGTGAAACCCCGTCTCTACTAAAAATACAAACATTAGCCAGGCGTAGTGGTGGGCACCTGTAATCCCAGCTACACAGGAGGCTGAGGCAGGAGAATTGCTTGAACTCTGGAGGCAGAGGTTGCAGTGAGCCGAGATTGTGCCACTGCACTCCAGCCTAGGCGACAGTGTGAGACTCTGTCTCAAAAAAAAAAAAAAAAAAAAAAAAATTCCCCTTCCCAGCAGAGTACCTTGGACATGGTAGGTGTTCCAGAAATGTTAGATGAGTATTTAATGACTTTAGTTATTATTATTATTATTATTTTTAGAGACAGGGTCTCACTGTCACTCAGGCTGGAGTGCAGTGGTGGGATCATAGCTCACTACAACTTCAAACTTCTGGACTCAAGCAATCCTCTCGCCTCAGCCTCTCAAGTAGCTAGGACTATAGGTGCTTGTCACCACACCCAGACAATTTTTATTTTTTATAGAGACAGGGTCTTCCTATGTTGCTTGGGCTGCTCTCAAACTCCTGGGCTCAAGCAATCCTCCCACCTTGGCCTCCCAAAATGTTGGAATTACAGGTGTGAGCCACCACACTCAGCTGACCTTAGTCTTTAAATACTTATTAAACCACTATTATTTCCAGACATTCTTTCAATCTCTGACTGTCTGATGCTCTTCCTTGACAGATTTGGTTCTGCGGTTGGGATGGGTGGAGTCAGTGGGAAAATGCCAGAAACTGTGTCCTAAGGCAGTGAGTGCCAGGTCAGGGCCAGTGTAAACAATATAAAAGCAGGTCAGAGATCCAAATAAGATTGGATGAATCTAGGAAGCTAAGGCATGAAGCCAACTGGGTTGGTGTCTGTGTTTTTGAAGAGGCTGGTGGAAAGGAAATCTTAGACTTAATCTCAGGTCCATGAGAGACATCTGTGGCAGTTTTTTATTCACTTTAAGATGCTCACAGTGTCATAGTCCCTGGGATACAAAGATGAATAGGAGCTCATGGTTTTGTGGGAAAACAGATAGGTTAAAAAAAAAAAAACTTACACTTTGATGTAAGAAGAGACATAATAAAGCAAACGTATACAACATTTGCTTGGAATAAATTGTGATGACTTTGGAAAAATTCTGGTTATGGAAGTTTTTGTTTGTTTTTTAAAAGAGAACACCTCGAATTTGGCATTTCAGCTCCTCAGATGTCCTCAGGACAAATAACACCCTTTGATACATAGAAAAAAGTTGGATGGTTCTATTATTCCAAAAGGATCCACATCACAACTTTTTTCCAGGGCTCATAGGGCCTGCTACTCTGCTACTCTGTGGAAATCTTTTCAGTATCTTTATACTAAAGCTTTAAATATGAAAGTTTGTTTTTGAGGGTGGTTTTTATGCAGAGAAAAGATTATTCAGAGTTTACTCCAGATATATGAAAATTAATATCTAATATATTAAAATTAAATTTATAAACTATACATTTAAATTATTAATTATAAGTACCTGTTTTTTCCTTAAGCTTAGTTTAACTTCTGTAATCGTTTCATTAAATAAGCATTCTGTCCCTATCTTTATCTCATTTCCTCCTGTAAGTCCCATAATGTAAATACTTGCTCACTTAATGGTGTCCTGTAAGTTCCATAGGCTGACTTCACTGTTTGTCATTCTTTTTTCTTTTTTTTTCCCTTTCCTACTGGGTAATTTCAAATGATGTATCTTCAAGTTCAGAGATTTTTTCTTCTGCTTAATCTAGTCTGCTGTTGAAGTTTTCCTATATTTGTTCATTGAATTCTTTAGCTCCAAGATTTCTGTTCAGTTCTTTTTATAATAATATCTATCTCTTTGTTAAATTCCTCATTCAGATTATGAGTTGTTTTCCTGGTTTTGTTGAATTATCTGTATTCTCTTGTATCTTGCTGAATTTCCTTAAGATCATTATTTTGAATTTCTTTTCAAGCACTTCATAAATTTCTTTTACTTTGGGGTCAATTACTGTAGAGTTTTTATGTTCCTTTGGTGGTATCATATTTCCTTGCTTTTTCACGTTTCTTATGTCCTGTTTTGATGTCCATGCATTGCTGGAAGGATCACATCTTCCAAATGTTACAGAGTGGCTTTCATAGAGAAAGGCTTTCATAGAGAAAGACTTTCATCTGCAGATGGGTCACAGTGCACTGGTTAGGAAGGGTGTGGTGGCTCTGGTTTCAAGTAGATGCAGTGGTGTAGATGAGGTGGTGAAGGTCGGATGTTTCCTTCCACTCTTTTTTTTTTTTTTTTTTTGAGATGGAGTCTCACTCTGTTGCCCAGGCTGGAGTGCAGTGGTGCAATCTTGGCTCACTACAACCTCTGCCTCCCGGGTTCAAGCGATTCTCCTGTCTCAGCCTCCTGAGTAGCTGGGTCTGCAGCAGTGTGCCACTACGCCTGGCTAATTTTTGTATTTTTAGTAGAGACAGGGTTTCACTATATTGGCCAGGCTGGTCTCAAACTCCTGACCTCAGGTGATCTGCCCGCCTTGGCCTCGCAAAGTGTTGGGATTACAGGCATAAGCCACGGCGCCCGGCCTTTCCTTCTATTCTTTATGTGGCTATCCTGAGTTTCTGTGCTCTACAGGGTTTCTGCCACTCCTTTGATATACTCTGGTACTCTCCTTTAGTTATTTTCATCAAAATATAGTTACTTATTTGTTGTTTTGTTTTGGCTTTGCTATGGGAATAAGCACTAATGGCTTCTGGTTGGCCACCTTGCTAATGTAACTTTCTAAATCTTATTCTACTAAAAGACTAGCAAATTTTATATCACTTTATTTTATTATTATTATTTTTTGAGACGGAGTTTCACTCTTGTCGCCCAGGCTGGAGTGCAGTGGCACAATCTCTGGTCACTGCAACCTCTGCCTCCCAGGTTCAAGTGATTCTCCGGCCTCAGCCTCCTGAGTAGCTGGGATTACAGGTGCCCGCCACTATGCCCAGCTAATTTTTGTATTTTTGGTAGAGATGGGGTTTCATCATGTTGGCCAGGCTGGTCTTGATCTCCTGACCTCAGGTGATCTGCCCGCCTTGGCTTCCCAAAGTGCTGGGATTACAGGCGTGAGCCACCGTGCCCGGCCTTATATAACTTTTATAGAAATTTAAATGAAGCTTGTTAAATGAAGACTTTTAAACATTTAAAACTGCATTTATAATTTAATATTTGGGCTGGGCATGGTGGCTCACGCCTGTAATCCTAGCAATTTGGGAGGCTGAGGTGGGCAGATCACTTGAGGTCAGGAGTTCATGACCAGCCTGGCCAACATGAAGAAACCCCATCTCTACTAAAATACAAAAATTAGTCAGGCATGATGGCGGGTGCCTGTAATCCCAGCTACTCTGGAGGCTGGGATTGGAGAATTGCTTGAACCCAGGAGACGGTGGTTGCAGTGAGCCGAGGTCGTGCCACTGCACTCTAGCCTGTGTGGCTGATCGAGACTCCATCTCAAAAAACAAAACAACAACAAAAACAAAAACAAAAATAATTTAATATTTGTGATTTTCCTATTAAATGCTACAGTTGCATGATTTATTTATTTATTTATTTAGAGACAGGATCTCATTCTGTGCCCAGGCTGGAGGGCAGTGGCACGAACATGGCTCACTGCAGCCTCAGCCTCTCCAGGCTCAGGTGATCCCACCTCAGCCTCCCAAGTAGCTGGGACTACAGGCACACAGGAACATGTCTGGTAATTTTTGTATTTTTAGTAGAGATGGGTTTTGCCATGTTGCCCAGGCTGGTCTTGAACTTCTGGGCTCAAGCGATCGGCCCACCTCAGCCTCCCAAATTGCTGCGATTACAGGAATGAGCCACTGTGCTTGGTCATTTCTCTACATAATTGGAGACTTTTTTAGGGCTGGAAGGTGCTTATGCTCTGTGGACAAGATTATATCTCAAAATATTTTTTCCTCTACAGTCATAGCTGCATGTGTGTGGCTAAATGCACTCTTGAAGACTCTGAGACTCTGTGATCCTATTTGTAGTAGGAGTGGTTTCAGATTCCTAAACTCTGATTTCAAGAGCTGTTTCCTAATTCTTCCATCTACTCCACCTGCTTTCAGCACTTGATTGAATTTTGCATGTTGTTGACTCTTAAGACACTTAAATGTCCTGCACTCTATTGGAGCTAAAGACAATTGTACTCGAGAGGTATTTGCATTCTTTTTATATTCTTGCTTTCTGTTAGGACCACAACCCTCCCAATAATCTAAGGTCGTCTCATCAAACTCTGGCTACCCTTCAAGACTTTGTCTTAATAAAGTCACAATTTCAAAGGTCATTCTAACGATTTAAACTAGATAGGTTCTTCTGTGTTTCCTGGTCGTCTCTCTAAGCCTGGCTGGCTCTTTCTTATTTTTTAGGTCTCAGCTTGAATGTCTTATCCTCACAGAGCTCTTCTCTGATTGTCCTTTGATAAGGATGGGATCTTTTATTATTTCATATCATGGCACTTGTTAAACAATGTTCTTCACACTACATAAAGTAATTTGGGGATTATTTTGTCTACTTGTTAGTTATCTGTTTCTCCCACTAGAATGCAAGCTCCGTGAGAGCAAAGACTAGTCTTTTTAAAAATTAATAGTTTATTTTGAAATAACTTCAGGGTCATAAGAAATTGAAATGATAGGCTGGGCGCGGTGGCTCACGCCTGTAATCCCAGCACTTTGGGAGACTGAGGCAGGTGGATGAAGTGAGGTCAGGAGTTCAAGACCAGCCTAGCCGACATGGTGAAACCCCATCTGTACTAAAAATACAAAAAATTAGCCAGGCATGGTGGCCGGTACCTGTAATCCCAGCTACTCGGGAGGCTGAGGCAGAAGAATTGCTTGAACCCAGGAGGCAGAGGTTGCAGTGACCTGAGATTGTGCCATTGCACTTTGTCGCACATTGCCATGGGCGACAAAAGCAAAACTCTATCTCAAAAAAAAAAAAAAAAAGAAATTAAAATGATAATATAAATACCTCTATGTACCCTTTATCTAGTTTCTCAAAAGAATTACATTTTTATATAACTATTGTACATTATCAAAATTCAGAAACCGACATTGATATAATACCATTGTTTAGACTTATAGGACCTTTCTGATGTTTCACCAGTTTACATACACTTGTGTGTATGTGTGAGTGTGTGTGTGCACATATGTGTGGTTCTACGATCTTGTACCCCTTGTACAGGTTCATGTATCCACCGCAATTGGGACATAGAACTGTTCCATCTCTGCAAAGACACTCCTCTTGCTGCCTCTTCATAAGCACTAGTTTGTCTTGTTCACTTTTGTCCCCTCAGTGCCTTGCTTAGTGCCAGGTACATGATCGGCACCAAATAAATATTTGTTGAACGTACCAGTATGTAGCCAAATATTCCGGAATTTGTTTAATTTGTTTGGATAAAGGAGTATTAATCTGTTATTGAACTTTGGTTACTAAGAGGCTGTTTGAGGAGAAAAATGTCATCAAACCCCATCTCGTTATGACTAATTTGCAAAGAATACAAAAAATCCTCAGCTACCAAATCTCAGAGTTGTTGCAACACTAATGAATCCAAATCTTATAATCCAGCCTTTGCCAATGTGGAAAGGCTAAAAGTCTTGAAAGGAGAGCAAAATAGATACTATATATATGTGTGTGTGTATGTGCGTGTGTGTGTATGTGTGTATGTAAATATATATATATATGTTTTTTTCTCCAAATATTGAATGTGAAATATCATTTCAACATACTCTGGAATCCGAACTAGCAAACGAAGGCAGCCTGACCAAGAATGCTGTGCTCCTGTGCCGCCAGGCCTCCTTCCTCCTGGTTCCGATTACTAATACTGTCCCAAAGTAAACAGAAACTTGACCCTCCATTAACTTGCTGTAGACTGCCTACAATAACATTTCCCCTAATGGTACTAGGGGGAAATCGACGACTCCCGAAAGATATTTGCACATTGCTGGAGTTTCTTGACCTTAAGATATCTTTTTGGAAGCATTTAAAGAACTAAGGAAAGAAACTGCCCTTTAAGTAGACCTTGTGACAGAAGTAGGTGGGAAAATAATGACACTGCATACCAAACCTTACCTTTGCACAGGATAACTCCCTGACAAATGCTATGGCAAACATGCTGTAAGAATACCATCATATTCATTCACCTCTTTTGTGATAAGAAAGGCTATGGATTTGATATCTTGAAAACCTTTGTTTTGCAGGGTTTGCTTTAGCAGCTCGCCTCTTACTCACCATGTATAGAGACTGAATTACTTTGGAATCCGTTTTCATTTAGTGACTTGAGGTAGAGCATTCAGTGTATTTTGTGTTAGAAACCACAGGTGGGACCTGTTTCTGTAAATGATTTATTTCCAGGGATCTGTTCCTTTAATTGATTTCATATTTACTTAAGAAAGTTCTTTCTTTGCTTGCCTTGTCGTCCCCCACTGAGAGCTTTTGTAAAGTGCGTGGCTGTCATAAATAGGCTGCTTCCTTCCCAGCCCAGTCATTTCTCTGAGGTTTACCTGTCTTTCTTTTATTCTTTTTTTTTTTTTTTTTGAGACGGAATCTCGTTCTGTCGTCCAGGCTGGAGTGCAGTGGTGCGATCTCGGCTCATTGCAACCTCTGCCTCTTGGGTTCAAGTAATTCTCCTACCTCAGCCTCTTGAGTAGTTGGAATTACAGGTGTGCACCACCAAGCCTGGCTAATTTTTGTATTTTTAGTGGAAACGGGCTTCACCATGTTGTCCAGGCTGGTCTCAGACTCCTGATCGTGAGTGATACACCTGCCTTGGCCTCCCAAAGTGCTAGGATTTACAGGCGTGAGCCACAGCACCTGGCCTACACGTCTTTAAATGGAATCTGGGCACCATTTCATAAGGATTTTTCTTTATGT
Organism: Homo sapiens; assembly: GCF_000001405.40. Classification (NCBI taxonomy): domain Eukaryota; kingdom Metazoa; phylum Chordata; class Mammalia; order Primates; family Hominidae; genus Homo; species Homo sapiens. Next base: position 73,139,861 of record NC_000013.11, read on the forward strand.
TCTATTTTTGGGTAATAACCTGTGGCTTGGGAAGGCTTTAACCCGTACTCAGTCAGCTTTGTAACCCCCCTCCCCATAGTAGTCATAACAATAACAACAATCATCATAATTACTAATATGGACTATTGGTATATTCTTGATCTTTTTTTTCTTTTTCTTTCTTTCTTTCTTTTTTTTTTTTTTTAAATGAGACTGTGTCTCACTATGATGCCCAGGCTGGTCTTGAACTCCTGGGCTCAATCGATCCTCCTGCCTTGGCCTCCCAAAGTGCTGGGATAATAGGCATGAGCCACTGTATGTGGCCTTTTTTTTTTTTTGGAGATGGAGTTTTGCTCTTGTTGCTCAGGTTGGAATGCAATGGCTCAATCTTGGCTCACTGCAACCTCTGCCTCCCAGGTTCAAGCTATTCTCCTGTCTCAGCCTCTCGAGTAGCTGGGATTACAGGCACATGCCACTACACTAGGCTAATTTTTGTATTTTTAGTAAAGACAGAGTTTCATCATATTGGTCACGCTGGTTTTGAACTCCTGACCTCAGGTGATCTGCCCGCTTTGGCCTCCCAATGTGCTGGGATTACAGGCATGAGCCACTGTGCCTGGCCTTTTTTTCTTTTTTAAAATAGAGATGGGGTCTTACTATGTTTGACAGGCTGGTCTTGAACTCCTGGCCTCAAGCAATCCTCCTGCCTTGGCCTCCCAAAATATTGGGAATACAGGCATGAGCCACTGTGCCCGGCAGTATTCTCTTATATGAATTTTAAGTAAAGGCATCTTTAGGGATTTTTGCAAGTTTTGTTGATTGTAAAATCCAATCTAAATAAAAACAGTGTGATTGCTGTGAAAACTCAGCTTTGGGACAAGCCATGTGCCTGACCTCCCAACCATATTGCCTGCTTTAAACCATTCTGAAATGGCTGCTGGATATAAAATCTGTGGCAGAAAGTCTTTTAGCTGGGAGGTCATAAACCCAGAGTGCCTCAGTCTCTCCCATCTTTAAGTAACAGGGATTCCAAGATCTTAAAGTGATTCGTGTGTGTTTAGTCTCAGTTCACACTCTGGCAGTAAGGCAGGGACAGAGCATTCTCTCTGAGTTGGAATTTTCAGCTCCATGGAGGAGTCCAGTCCCAGGGACGAGAGTCTGGAGGGGGGAAGTCCCCATCCTGCACCTTGCCTCCCTTCCTCAACAGCAGCTGGAAGCTGTTCAGTCCTTTCACAACACCTTTTCTCTTCCTATAAATAGAAAAATGCTTCTTTTCTGTGAAACAATATTTAAGAAGCACCTGGGTTGTCTTAAGCTTATTTAAAAGGAAGAGTGGGTTTTGTAAGGAGAGGAAAACCAAAGCCGAAGGTCACCAGGCCAAAAGACAGCTAAGGAAGAAAACTGCCTCCCAAAGCTTCTAGCCATTTCTAGCCACTGACCTCCATTTGTATCCAGAGCTCACGACACAAACACCTCCAGCTCAGAACCTCTGGCTGTAGTCTGTGTTGACCCAGAGAACTGAAGGGAATCATTGATTTTCAGATTTGTTTAGGAAAAGCTACCATGCAGGGGAAACCCTGCTCAGCCTTCCAGGGAACTTCGAGAGCCAGGGACTGGGGTTGCATGACTTAGTCAATTAGATATGCTTTCCCAGGCTGCTGTTGTTTCATTTTGTTCTTATCGACATGAATATTTGTCCAAATGTTGCTTTCTGCTTTACCCTTGCCTCCGAGGAGGGAAGCATTGTTAATGGAGAGGGCAGACCAAGGGCAGAGAATTGCTCATTTTTCTGCATCATGGAAAATATAGGATGTGCAGGAAACAAATCCTTTCAACTGGCTTAATCCTTTCAGTGAGGTTCATTTCAATGAGCTCCATTGTATTCATTCCTTATTCAAGCAAGATAAAAATAGAACACTTAGAGGACTATGTCTATAGAAACAGAGTGAAATGGAGAGTTGAGGCAATTGTCCGGATAATCCAAGCAAAAACAAATTGAAACAAAATGAAACTAACCACTGTAGAGAAAAAAGCAGCTTTAGGAGCTTGAATGATCCAGTCTAGTTCTCCACATTGTTCAAATTCACCTGCTCTGCATCTATATTTACTTTTTCTACATAGCCTGGGCTTAAGTTGTTGAAGAGTTTTTCCCCTAATATTATCTCAAGTATTACCTCAAAAAAAAAAAATGCCTTTGCTTTAAAGTATTCCTCTCTGCCCTATTTCTCAGCCAGAAAGTAAATCTCATCATAGATTTATACATGTTTTTCTATCAGACAGCATTAGGAGTATGGGGAGTTTTCTTTTTCATCTGGCTCTGTGAATTCCCTTTAGCAGGGATTTAAGGGCTGGAGATGGTTTATCTACACACTCACATGTTTTAAACCTGTTGCTTTCTGCTTGGCTAAGTGCCTGTCATGTGTGTTGGTTGCCAACACAACAGCTTGGCTCATTTAGAAAAGCAAGGAGCCCAATTTCCTCCGAGATAGCAGCTGGTAATATTCCACTGGATGCTAGTGAGACACTATGCGACTCCGAGACAGTGTCTTGGCCAGGGTTCTCCTTAGCCTGGCTTCCCACATCGAGGGGCATGACTTGCCTCTCAGGTTAGACTCCCGACCTTGTTGTTTTAATGGCACTTCTCTCTCTGTCCCTTTTACTCGGACTCAAATCTTTTCATTCATTCACTCATCTGATTTTTCCCTCTGCCTCTTTCCCAATATAACCAGTCACCGAGTGCTGTGGATTCCTCTTTCCCAAAGTTTTCCTCATTTTAAGCTTTATTCATTTTTCCCCGTTCCCTGAGTTTGAGGTCTTCTTTTCTTTTCTTTCTTTTTTTTTTTTGAGATGGAGTTTTGCTCTTGTTGCCCAGGCTGTAGTGCAACGGTGCGATCTCTGCTCACTGCAACCTCCGCCTCCTGGGTTCAAGCAATTCTCCTGCCTCAGTCTCCTGAGTAGCTGGGATTACAGGCATGCGCCACTATGCCTGGCTAATTTTGTGTTTTTAGTAGAGACAGGGTTTCTCCATGTTGGTCAGGCTGGTCTTGAACTCCCGACCTCAGGTGATCTACTCGCCTCAGCCTCCCAAAGTGCTGGGATTACAGGTGTGAGCCACCACACCCAGCCAGTCTTATCTTCTTATCCCTCCTAATAATCCCCTGCTATTTTTCAGTCTCACTTATTGCTAGTCCCTCCCATGTACATGCCAGAACAATCTTCCTTGAAACTCTGCATAATTGAATTGTATTAACATTTTCTTCCACAAATGTCTTCAATAACTCCTTGTCACCTAAAAGATTTTGCTGAGATTTCTCATCCAGGCATTGAAAGTTTTGTCGGCTGGGCATGGTGGCTTACGCCTGTAATCCCACCACTTTGGGAGGCCAAAGCAGGAGGATCACTTGAGGTCAGGAGTTTGAGACTAGCCTGGCCAACATGGTGAAACCCCATCTCTACTAAAAATACAAAAATTAGCTGGGCATGGTGGCGCATGCCTGTAATTCCAGCTGCTTGGAAGGCTGACGCAGGAGAATCGCTTGAACCTGGGAGGTGGAGGTTGCAGTGAGCCGAGATCATACTACTGCACTCCAGCTTGGGCGACAGAGTGACACTCCATCACAAACAAACAAACAAACAAACAAAAAAACAGAAAAAAGAAAACAAAAGAAAGCTTTTGTCAGTGTGGTTCTGATGAATTTCCAGCCTCTAGTGAACAGTCAGCTCTGGCAAGACAGGCCTATTATCCTCTTACATAAAATGCCCTTCCTCCTCTTGTTCACCCATCAAAATCCTCATCATTTTCCAAGGCTAGATTGGACATCACCCTTCTTCTTTTTTTTTTTTTTTGAGACGGAGTCTTGCTCTGTCGCCCAGGCTGGAGAGCAGTGGCGTGATCTTGGCTCACTGCAACCTCTGCCTCCTGGGTTCAAGTGATTCTCGTGCCTCAGTTTCTCGAGTAGCTGGGATTACAGGCACGTGCCACCATGCCTAGCTAATTTTTGTATTTTTACTAGAGATGGGGTTTCACTATGTTGGCCAGGCTGGTCTTGAACTCCTGACCTCAAGTGATCAGCCTGCTTTGGCCTTTCAAAGTGCTGGGATTACAGACGTGAGCCACCAGGCCCGGCCAACCCTTCTTCAAGACTTTTTTGACCATGTTGGAAGAAAGGGACCATTTTAAACTGGAATCACAGAATCTTGCGGTTAGAAGGCATCTTGCAGGATCCCAAGCCCAACTTTTCACCCTGCCGCTTACCCTTCAACCTCTGCTTTGACCTCTCCTTTTTTTTTTTTAAGGTGTCCCTTATGAGTATATTTATGAGTTACACACACACATACACACTCAACGCTGGATGGTAGAAACGTTGAGAGGGGTAAGGACGGGAGGCACCCAGGCGCTGGCACAGGACAGGAGGTGGACCTGGACCTGGAAGAACAGGAAGTGCTTATTCTCTTAGAGGACAGTTTCAAAGTGCAGAAATTTCTTTTACAAAAAGCCTCTTCCTCCACGCTGTACCCCCTGATGAAGCCCAGCCCCCTTGCACAGGCTGTCCATGAGATTGGGGCAGGACAAGGTTATGGGGAAGGGTGTAAGGCCAAAGTGCTGAAGGGCCCAGACCACAAGGGCCTGGTCATAGTGGCTGCCGGGCGCCAGGGGGTTCTCTCCTCAGTGGCCCAGTGGTTTCCAAGTTGGAAAACACACATGGTAACTCACTGCATTTTTAGACAGCTATTATTGATAAGAATTTCTTTCCTTCTCTGGCCCCAACCCATTCCTTTGTTTTCTCTCTCTCCCAGATAATTTCTGCCCCTTTGTTTTTGGTCTGTCCTCAGGAACAATACAAAAGAAATATCATCTTTCTATACCAAAGCTCCTCAAATATTTGATGTATACTATCATAGCTATCTTGACTAACCCACATACAACCCAGATTCTTAAATTACTTCTTATATTAACATGGTAAATTATTCTCTAACTTGACCATGTTAACTGGAAATACTCCAGAGTGTTAATAATTTTAAAATGTAGATTCCAGAAAAGGAATGACTTTCCTGATCTATAGTATTAATTCTAGAGAACTTGAGATATTTGTACCATTTATTAGGCTCACACACTGTAGAATTTATATAATTTTTTTTTAATCAAGGAGGAAGGAGGGAGAGTTTCCACAATTTCCTCTGTTTCTGTGGTTTTGCATGTAAACTAGATGATTAGTTCCTGATAAGCAGGGACTCTGAGCTGCAAATCTCTATGTCCTTCAAAGAAGGCTCTGGACCTAATAGGCCTGCCATCATTTGATTTTGAAAAATCAATCTCAGATAATGAACATTGCTGACTCTAGTGTTCACTTTTCTGCTCTTACATTATTTGATTTCTTGGCAATGTTGACACTGTTGACCACTTTCTTCTTCTGGAAATGCTTCATTTGGTTTTCCTGAGAATCTACTCTACTTCTTAGTCTTTTTTTGTGATTTTTCTTTAGTGTTGGTTTTCTTTGTGATTCATTCTAATGCTGTTGTTTTTTGTTTTTTTTTTACTCAACTCACTCCCTTGACATCCATTTCTATGCCTTCAATAAAATCTAGTTACAAATGATATCTTTCTCTTGAGAACTAGACCAGTGTAGGCCTTCTCCACTTGAATGACCAAAGGCATTAAAATACACAATATGTTCAAAAGCTTGAATTCATTACATTCATTTTGTTTTTTTTTCAGGATCATATTTTCTTCTGTATTCGTCACTACCCACTGAGGAATTCAAGCTGGAAATCTGGGCATCATCCTCACCCTCTGTCTCTATTTCCCACCATCCCTTTCAATTAATAATTATGGTCAATCAATTCTGCTTCCTAAACATTCTATGGGTCTATTCACTTCTCTTCATCCTCATTGCTACTTCCCTATTCTGGATACCATCTTGGGCGTGGATTACTGTAATACTCCTACAATCAGATTTTAGAAGTCTGGGGATGCTTAATAGCTAAATTCCTTTCATGGGGAAAAATACAGTAGGAAGAAGTCAAGTGAAGAGATTTGAGAAATATTTAGGAGGTAGAATTGAATGAACTTAGTGCCACATTGGACTTTGTGATGAGAATAGAGTGAGGAAGAGTGACAGTAATGGACAATGCTGACATTTCCGGCTCAAGGTGGTAGGTGTGTGTGTGTGTGGAACTTGGGAAAAAGAGTTTTGGGACATCGCATTGTCCACTATGGTTTACCATCTGAGCAATTCCTACACTCTATTGTAATCACCTACTTACCTATGTGTTCCCTACAGCAGACCTGCACTGCAAGTTCTGGGAGGACAGGGACTAACCATCCATCTATCATGTTCATGGTTGTATTCCCTTTCCTTGCACACGGCTTGGTGTATGATAAGTGCTGACTATATGATGATCGACTGGATGAATGCATTCTTGTAGTTTAACATCACAGATGGTGATGTATTTAAAGAAAGGTATCTTTTTGGAAAAAGGTTTGGTGGGGGCAGTTTAAGATTGGTCAAGAAAGAACCTGCTATCATATCTGGCTGCGTGTAACTGGAGTTACGAAACAGAAGAAAGCAAAACAAAACAACGACAACAACAAAGGAACTTTAAAGTGCACTGTGGCATTCACTGAACATCAGGAAAATAACACAATGCATATAGGCCCAATCAGTGATGTCATACTTACTGAGCATCTATTATGGGCAAGGCTCTGTGGTAGGGCCTACAGTTAGTGATCATATGTCCTTATTTGCTCAGAAAAGGCCTGGTTTATGCCTCTTGTCCCAGCATATTCTGATCTGGACAATATGTTAAGTATCACACTACCCCTAGGGGATTAAAAAAATCTCAATTCAACTCAAGAAAGAAGGTTGGTCTTGATATTGGTTTAAATGGGATTCAGAGCCAGCAGGCATACATGGCGGGGACTTGGGGCTGTCTCAAGGAAATTCATCCAAGGAAATTGCTGGGAGAAACAAACAAACAAACCCAAAACCACAAACACATTCAATAAATCTCTAAAAGGAAGGCCTGCTGGCTGACAGGAGTCTCACTGGTGGCTGAATTCCTGGTGGAAGATCTACTGTCTGTCAGGAGTCTAAGATGACATCATCTTCAATGTCACAATCTCTTTTTCACTTGGTTTGAAATATCTACCGTAAAAGTCATCACTTGGGTTTCTACACAAAAGAAGTCAGGAAGGGGAAAGCCTTGCCTTTAGAATGCCACTATTAAAAAAGCAGTGTGGCCAGAGAAGGACTAGACCTATCTCCATCCCCATTCTTGAAAATGTTTTCTTATTGGCTCATGAGCACCAATGCCAATGGGGTTTGGAGGTTGCTTGGTTTTCACCTTGGTCGGGATGAAAAAGATAAAAGGGAGAACATAAGAAGGCGTAGATCCTGGGGGAGTTTGTTAAAAACTGACAACATCGGCTGGGCGCGGTGGCTCACGCCTGTAATTCCAGCACTTTGGGAGGCCGAGGCGGGCGGATCACGAGGTCAGGAGATCAAGACCATCCTGGCTAACACAGTGAAACCCCGTCTCTACTGAAAATATAAAAAATTAGCCGAGCGTGGTGGCGGGCGCCTGCAGTCCCAGCTACTCGGGAGGCTGAGGCGGGAGAATGGTGTGAACCCGGGAGGTGGAGCTTGCAGTGAGCCGAGATCGTGCCACTGCACTCCAGCCTGCGAGACAGCGAGACTCCGTCTAAAAAAAAAAAAAAAAAAAAAAAGACAATATCGTCTAGGTGCAGTGGCTCACGCCTGTAATCCCAGCATTTTGGGAAGCCGAGGCGGGTGGATCACCTGAGTTCAGGAGTTTGAGACCAGACTGACCAACATGGTGAAACCCCGTCTCTACAAAAAAACTCAAACATTAGCCAGGCACGATGGCGTGCACCTGTAATCCCAGCTACTCGGGTGGCTGAGGCGGGAGAATCACTTGAACCCGGGAGGCAGAGGTTTCAGTGAGCAAGATCGTGCCACTGCACTCCAGCCTGGGTGACACAGTCAGACGCCATCTCAAAAAAAAAAAAAAAAAAAAAAAAAAGAAGAAGAATAAAGACTGTGGATGTGATTAATAAAATACAGGCTACCAAAGCAGTACTGAAGTCACAAGTTCTTCTCAATATGTTTTCACATCAATATATAATTCATGTGTGAGGCCTATAATCTCAGCCCTTTGGGAGTCTGAGGTAGGAGGATCCCTTGAGGGCTAGGAGTTCAAGACTGTCTCTACAAAAAATAAAAATAGCAAGAGTCTGTCTCTACAGATAAAAAAATAAATAAATAAATTAGCCCACCATGGTGGCGTGTGCCTGTAGTCCCAGCTACTCAGGGGACTGAGGCAGGAGGTTTCTTTAAGCCGAGAACTTCAAAGCTGCAGTGAGCTGTGCTGTGATAGCACTGCTGCACTCCAGCCTGGGCAATAGAGCAAAACCTAGTCTCAAAAAAAAAAAAAAAAAAAAAAAAAAAAAAAAAAAAAAGATAATTAGCGTTAGCGTGTGAGTGTGAGGAGGAGTCCTTAAATGTTTCAGAAGGGCAAGGATGGTGAACACAGATCTAGGCGGCATCCTTAATTCTTTGTTAACCTTTCTATGTCTTTATTGCTTCACACGTCAATGTATAGTGTTGAACTTCCTGTAGAAACGGCATATACGCTCCCATTTTACCAGCTTTTGGAGGTACAATTGACAAGTAAAAATTGTATCTATGCAATCATAAAAAGAACAAAATTACGTCCTTTGCAGCAACGTGATGCAGCTGGAGGCCATTATTCTAAGCAAATTAACGCAGGAACAGAAAACCAAATACCGCATGTTCTCATTTGTAAGTGGGAACTAAACATTGGCCATTCATGGACATAAAGATGGCAGCAATAGACACCGGGGACTGCTAGAGGGGGAGGGGAAGGAGGTGGAGAAGGGTTGAAAAACTCACTTGGGTACTATGCCCACTCCCTGGGTGATAGGATCATTCATTCCCCAAACCTCAGCATCACACAATATACCCAGGTACCAAACCTGAACATGTACCCCTTGAATTGAAAACAAAAGGTGAAGTTACTAAAAAAAAAAAAAAAAGAACTTATATATTTTATGTTTTTGATGTTATTATAATTTTTAAATTTATTTCATTGCTTACTGCTCATAAATACAATTAAAATTGATATTTGACTTATTGTCCTGTAACCTTTTTAAACTCAGTTATTAAATATAAGAGATTTGGTGTGTTTTTCTTAGCATTTCTAAATAATAATTTTGCAATCTTCAAATAGAGACACTTTTGATTTAAAAAATGGTATAGTTAAGGTGTGCAACTTGTTGTTTTGATGTAACAATTTTCTTTTTAAAATAACCCCTGAATTCAGGTTGGGTGTGGTGGCTCGTGCCTATAATCTCAGCACTTTGGGAGGCTGAGGCAGGAGGATCGCTTGAGCACAGGAGGTCCAGGATGCAGTGGGCTGTGATGGCACCACTGCATCCCAGCCTGGGTGACACAGCAAGACTCTGTCTCAAAAAAACCCTACAAAAAAACCCTGAATTCTGGAGATCTAATGTGCAGCATGGTGACTATAGTTAATAATAATGTATTATAAACTTGAAATTTGCTGAGAGTAGATCTTAAGTGTCCTCACCACATGTACACATAAATTTAAAACTAAAAGAAACCCAAAAAACAAAAACAACCTGAAGGCTATTTCTGAGACAGGAATTTGATGTCTTCCATGCATTCCCTATTGGAAGATGAGGGAAAAAGAAGCCGACACAGGCTTAGGGCATGTCTTCTTTGACTATGACAACATTAAAAATATATTAATAGACGGGCAAGCTGGGCGTGGTGACTCCCGCCTGTAATCCCAGCCACTCAGGAGGCTGAGGCAGGAGGGGAGGATTGCTTGAGGCCAGGAGTTCAAGACCAGCCTGGCCAACATTGTTAGACTCTGTCTCTTAAAAAAAAAAAAGAAAAAAGAAAAAAAAATAGGCAAAAGAAGACTTACTTCCCTTTAAACAGCCCCTGTGTTTTTTTCTGGTGTGATTAACAGTGTTCTTATGTTTTTTCTTGTAGCTTTCTTCTTTTCCTCTCTTCTCTAGTTCAACCAGGCTAGACAGTTTCTGGTACTGTCACAATAGTTTCTGTTCACTGTTAGCATTTAAGGACAGTAGTGTGTGTGTGTATGCGTGTGTATGTGTGTTTGTATTAATATTCTGGCTTCTTTCTCTTAGCATAGTGTTAATTTTCCCAATTAATTCAAATTTTTATTTAGAATTATTCTTTTTGTATTACATTCATATTCTATAATTCATTTTACTCTTTTGTGAGGAATTTCAAAGTTTTCACTATTAGAAATAATAATAGTGTTATTTATATAATAATTTGCATTATTACTCTTTAGTGCATAATTCATTTTACACAAAAGAGTAAATGAATTATAGAACTAATTAGTACTATTCCTAGTAGTGAAAACTTAGGAATTACTCACAGAAAAAAGCAATTACTTAGAGAACACTGTAGACAGTGTTGGGGAGCATGTTATTTCACCTCCACTCAAGCATTATTCTTCTGGTAGTAGTCGCCTGATTCTTTCCTGGCCATCACATTCTCTCATTCTCATCTTGTGTGCTCAGAACATGATTCAGGCGCTGTTCCACACAGGCCTCATCAGAAAATTTCCCTGGCTACAATGACTGGCTCAGTGATGGGCTTGTGTTCCAAACATAGCCATCTTGATGCAATAATTCTCTGGCTGAGACTTCTGAGAAACTCACACTGTTTCCTCAAAGGATTTACAAATAAAGGGGCATTGGCCGGGTGTGGTGGCTCACGTCTGTAATCCTAGCACTTTGGGAGGCCAAGGCAGGTGGATCACCTAAGGTTGGGAGTTTGAGACCAGCCGGGCCAACAGTGACACCCCGTCTCTACTAAGAACACAAAAATTAGCCGGATGTGGTGGCATGCACCTGTAGTCTCAGCTACTTGGGAGGCTGAGGCAGGAGAATTGCTTGAACCTGGGAGGCAGAAGTTGCAGTGAGCCAAGATCGTGCCATTGCACTCCAGCCTGGGCGATAGAGTGAGAGTCCATCTCAAAAGACAAACAAACAAACAAACAAACAACAAAAACAAATAAGGGAGCATAAAAACAATACTACTAAGACTGGCTTGCTGCTATGGGGAGCCTCCTGGGGGACCACCCATGAGCAAAGCAGAGCGGAACCAAAAGACAGAAACAAGAGAAAACAACAAAGACAAACACAAACCAACAAAACCCGAGTATTGACGAGGTCGTTTGAGCACTATTTCAGCCTGTTCTGCACCTGAACTTTCTATTTGTTGAACCATTCAATCCTAACCTGGTCCTCCAAGTACACACACACACACACGCACACACACACAGATGCACGCATACATACACATCTCTTATTTTTAGGTCTCTTTACATTGAGAATTTGGTCTGTTAGTGAGACAGTCCCATTGTGAACTCTTTGTTCATAGGCGATTGACTCCACAGTGCATATTTCCTTCGGATATTAAGAGCTAACATGTATTCGGTGCTCGCCTATGTCAGACATCATGATAAAGACTTGACATTTGTTATCACAGTCCGTCCTTTCAATAATCATTTCAAGTATCTACTCTTTTGTTTTTGTTTTGAGACAAGGTCTCACTCTGTTGCCCAGGCTGGAGCATGTGGTGTGATCAAGGCTCACTGCAGTTTTGACCTCCCAGGGCTCAAGCCATCCTCCCACCCCAGCCTCCTGAGTAGCTAAGACTACAGGTGGGTGCCACCATGCCTGGCTAGTTTTTGTATATATTTTTTGTAGAGATGGGGTTTTGCTATATTGTCCAGACTGGTCTTAAACTTCTGAACTCAAACTATCCTCCCCACTCGGCCTCCCAAAGTGTTGGGATTACAGGTGTGAGCCACCAGACCCAGCCTCGAAGTAACTACTCTTAAAACCCTCGTTTTACACATGAGGAAATTGAGGCTCAGGAAAATGACAAGAACACAATGTTAGTGCAGAGTCACGTGGCTGGTTAAGTGGCAGAGCCAGGACTCAATCCTAGGTCTGTCTGTTTCCAGAGCCCGCTACATAACAACTTGCCTTTCAATAACTCTTAATTTCTTTTATTTAGTCCTTAAGTACAAAATACATTTTGTGTGAAGTCATGATAAGCCTCTTTAAAGAGCAAGGTAGTTAAAGGTTTTGATCTCAGAGGAGGATACAAAGAAACAAAAAGCCGGGTCTTAAAGGCTTAAGAAGAAGGATCTGAGAAAAGTAGCAAAGGTGGGACTGAGACTGGTGTGTGTGTGAATGCACAGGGAAAATTTAGGGATTCTTTCCAGTCACAGAGTCCAGGATTCTAAGAAGTCTAGTCCATCCAGGAGCTCATGTGGGAAAGTGAGTGATGAGGTTGGATCAGATTTTGAACCCCTATTTATTTATTTATTTTTGAGATGGGGTCTCACTCTGTCACCCAGGCTGGAATGCAGTGGGGTGATCTCAGCTCACTGCAACCACTGCCTCTCGGGTTCAAGCGATTCACCTGCTTCAGCCTCCTGAGTAGCTGGGATTACAGGCATGCACTACCACGTCTGGCTAATTTTTGTATTTTTTGTAGAGATGGGGTTTCACCATGTTGGACAGGCTGGTCTCAAACTCCCAACCTCAAGTGATCCTCCCGCCTTGGTCTCCCAAAGTGCTGGGATTACAGGCATGAGCCACTGCACCCAGCCTGAGGCCCTTTTTAAAAAAGACTGGATGTGCTATTAATGGGCAGAGGAGAGCTCTTAATTCCTTTGGAAGGTGAGCTAAGAGTTGTCTTGGTGGCCCCCAGTGAACCATGCTTCCTGATATTCATGCCCTTGTGTACTTCCCTCTCACTCTGATTGCAGCATGGCCATTTAACTAGCTTGGACAATAGTACATTAGCAGAAAATGTGAGAGGAAGCACAGTAAGCACTTGCACTTTTGGATTTATTCCCTTAGAAGACTTTTATTTATTTATTTTGAGACAGGGTCTCACTGTGTCACCCAGGCTGGGGTGCAGTGGTGTGATCCTAGCTCACTGCAGCCTCGACTTCCTGGGCTCAAGTGATTCTCCTTCCTCAGCCTCCCGAATAGCTGGGACTACAGGCCTGTGCCACTACGCCTTGCTAATTTTTAGAAATTTTTTGTAGAGACAAGGGATCTTGCTATGTTGTCCTGGCTGGGAGACTGTTTCTTAGAACTGTGCTGCCAGATGTGGAGATGTCCAAGCTGCCACATAGAAAGGCCCATGGGGGAGAAATGTAGTCTCCCAGCTGACAGGCCCATTGGGCCCCCAGCTGGCATCTGTACCCTTTGCCAGGCACATGAACGAGGCCATTTTGGATGTCCCAGCTATCCTAGTGCCCTGGTGATCACAATATGAAGCAGAACCCCTCCTCTAGTCCTTAGAATCATGAGAAATAATACATTGTTGTTCCAGTCCACTCAGTTTGGGGATTGCTTGTGATATAGTCATAGATAATTGAAGCAATCGAAAGTGGTCTTCCTACTTCCCTCCCTCCCTCCTTCTCTTTCAACAAATATTCTGAGATAGTGGGCCCTGTGTACAATGTAAAGATAGAGAGAAGACACCCTCATGGCCCCTGTCCTAGGGGAGCGAGATAACTCCTGCATTGTTCTGAGCTTCAGACTTTCATTTCCAGTTGGATATTAATTTTCCCAAAGCAGAATTCATTTTCTTTCATTTCAAAACTCTCCTCTTCCTCCTTCCTCCATTTTTGTTATTGGCATCGCCCCATACCCAGTTGCTCAAGTTAGAAATCTCAGATTTGTTTTGACTCTCCTTTCACTCTCACTCCTTGTGTTGAAACTCTCATACTGTTCATCTACCAGCCTGATTGCACTGGAGTGGGTTGAGCCTGGATGTCAGGAGATCCAAGACAACCATAATAGGGGCTGTAGCCACGGGAGGGTGGCACCTTCAAGGAGAGCCTGTGCTAAAAAAGAGGGAGTAGCCAGGCCTCTAGTCAAGGTGGAAAAATCTCTTCTGTCAGTTGTGCCTCCAGAGCAAATGGGTATAGGTTTCTCTCCTTTTGTCCCACCTTTGGTCTTAGTTAGATCAAGGATCAGTTGCAATCAGGCAGGGTAGGTGCAGAGGAGGTTGCACCCACTTACAATTGTTAAAGACTTATTCTGACATCTTTTTTTCTGTAAAATTGAGACCAATTGCACACACTTTCCAGAAAGTGTTTAAAAACATCCCAGACAGATTTAGTTATATACAGTCAATTCAACTGTACTACATTTAGAGTATGTTATATCGTAACATGAATGAAGTATCCTGGGCAAGGCGTGGTGGCTCACGCCTGTAATCCCAGCACTTTGGGAGGCCGAGGCGGGTGGATCATGAGGTCAGGAGTTTGAGACCAGCCTGATCAACATGGTGAAATCCCGTCTCCACTAAAAATACAAAAATTAGCCGGGCGTGGTGGCAGGCGCCTGTAATCCCAGCTACTCAGGAGGCTGAGGCAGGGGAATCACTTGAACCCGGGAGGTGGAGGTTGTAGTGAGCTGATATCACGCCACTGCACTCCAGCCTGGGTGACAGAGCGAGACTCCATCTCAAAACAAAAAACAAACAAACAAACAAAAAAACCCCGAAAACAAAGTATCCCTCAAGTTTTAAAGCCAGGCAATTTAGTAGCCTAACTTGGCAGGCAAGTTAGAAGCTACCTACCATTCTTAGTTTTCCTTTTTCCATATTCTGAAGACAACTTATTTTCTTATTTAGCACTAGAAAAAGAGACAAGAGACTTGGGCTCAGAGCTGCTGCTAGTCTTTACCGAGCCTTAGTGCATATTAGAAGGTACCTTCTCTCTTGGTGGCAGCCCTGTGGGCAGACAGATGGATATATCCCAGACGGGTGGATTCTTATTCCAGAGAATATAGCTTGACCAAGAGCATGTGGTTTGGATTTTAGGCATAGCTGGCCTCCTTAGCCAGGCATCTTTGTACAGTGTGGAAAGCATACATCTGTTGTTGTGTCTCTCCTGGGGCTCTTGTATAGCTCTGCCATCAGCAACTTGTGTGACTTCATGTCTCCAGCCCTGGGTTTCCTCAATGTGGAGAAAAGAGAACTGTCTCTGGGGCCAGGATGCCTGGGTTGGAGTCTTCTAAGTCACAGTGTGACTTTCAGCTAATCTGTATCTCTGCAGGCCTTAATTTTCTGGTTTGGAAAATGGAGGTAAGTAAATGAGAGACTCTCCAAGAATCTCCCAGCTTCAAAAAGCTTAGATGCTAATATGTTGCAGAAATCCCGGCATGGATTCAGAATCTTCAAGTTTCATTATAGGACTTGCTTTTTAATAGTCTTCCTGCATCTTCTTCCCCTTATTGCAACTCAGTCAATTAGTCAATTTCTCTGCATTTTAGTTTTGTTCTATTTGTCAAATGGAGATAATAAGAGATGCCTTAGAGGGACTCAGGGAGGATAAACTAATTAATGGTCATAAAGTCCTAGTGTCCTTGAGCCTGCTAAGTGGTCATGATTCTAAACAGATCTTTATAGCTTCTTGGCCGCTCACTGCTTTAGCATTAGACAGAACCATTTATTTTTTCTTATTTTTTAATTTTCATTATTGTTTCCTATAAAGGACAGCACCTTACAACATGATTTTTTTTTTTTAAATCAACATGACACATGGAAGCAATGGGAAGAAGCATATCAGAAGCAAAGGCCAGGCTGGGCGCAGTGGCTCAGGCCTGTAATCCCAGCACTTTGGGAGGCTGAGGCAGGTGGATCACCTGAGGTCGGGAATTTGAGACCAGCCTGGCCAACATGGTGAAACCCCATCTCTACTAAAAATACAAAAATTAGCCGGGCGTGGTGGTGCACATCTGTAATCCCAGCTACTTGGGAGGGTGAGGCATGAGAATCGCTTGAACCTGGGAGGTGGAGGTTGCAGTGAGCCGAGATCATGCCACTGCATTCCAGCCTGGGTGACAGAGTGAGACTCCATCGAAAAAAAAAAAAAAAAGCAAAAGCCAGAATACTGGCTAGGAAGGGTATGAAGGAGGTGATAGGAGGTGTGAGTTGAGGGAGGAAGAAATCTGGGAATGAAAGAAATGACTGTTGAGTCGAGGTCTTTGGGACCTGAGCTTCTGGGAGGTCTTTCTTGCTGGTAGGATTTGGGAAGGGCTTTGGGTTCAACATTCTCTTTCCTTGCTTACCTTTGTCATATGTGATGGGTAGGCAACAAAGCCCTTTCTTAAGAGTTAAATCTTGTTATGCCACTGAGATCCTGGCGAGCTCATTCAAAATACCAATTTAGTTTCTTTACTTGTTGATCTAAGTTATGTTCTGGGCAATTTGGGACTTTTGAGAAGCAGGAAAACATATTTCAGAATACAACATAAACATGAACCATTGACTACATCCATCCAGGCTTTATTTTTTTAAGTTAATTAATTTTTTTTTTCAAGATGGGGGTCTTGTTATGTCACCCAGCCTGGCCTCAAACTCCTGGGCTCAAGTAATCCTCCTGTCTGAGCCTCCTGAGTAGCTGGGACTACCAGCCTATGCCATCTCATCCTAGGTTCTAGTTCTTCTTTGAAGCCTTTTAAAATGTTTTCAGTGGAAATTAATTCCTTCCTCCTGATATTTCCATATTGCTTTCTGAATTGTCATATATTAGAGCTATTTATATAATTACCCTGATAATAAAGTTTAATTTCCTCGATGTTAGAGAACCTATGTTATTCATCTATCTGCAAGCTCCCTGAAGTGTCTAGAAACAACTTTCAATATAGAAAGTCTTCAACAACTACTTATAGAACTAAATCATGTTATTTTATATAAAGAAAGAATATGGAAGAATTGAGTGACAGGATTTTACGATTTTGAGATTTTTGATTTTCTTGCATTTATCACTCAGATATATTTTACACCTTTTTTTTTTGTTTTGTTTTTCTTGGTTTAACATTATCTTTGGGGCCAGAATTCTCCTTTTGATGTAATGGCATGGGATTAGTTTATGTGGTAATCTAGTTATATCAACTTGGAAGCAGAGAACAGTGACCTAGAAGGGAAAATGAGATGAAATTAATTTTGTTTGGGGCAAGGGATGGCTAGGTAGATTTAGAATGGAAGATGACAGGTACTATGGCAGAGGTGGCAGAGGAAAAATTTGCTCTATGAGGTGACCCTGGGGCAGCTTCGATTCTGGTTATGTAACCCCTGACTCAGATAGGTCCTCTCTGTGAGTCTCTTGATATGGAGCAGATGAGGTCCCTGGCTGCCCTATGTCACAAAGAAGTTTCAAGAAATAAACACTGATTCTGTCTGTCTTATGATTTGGTCTAACTTCGGATAATGATGTACACTGTCAGCAGATCCTTCTGCTGCAATTTTACCATGTAATTTGCTAAGGAATATTTACCTTTGCACTCAATGCATCCAGAAAGTAGAGATAGAAGGTTGTATTTTCATGCTCTTGCTAGGGTAAAGGAAAGTTTACTGACCTCAAAGCCATGTGTTTTTATCTTAGAGTGGGAAAATACACAGAATCAAAGAACTGAAGTGTTCTAGATCTGCCTCTGCCTCAAGAAGTTTCCTGGTTCCCCGTCTCATTTCACAAATGAGGATACGGAGGCCTAGAGGCTTAAACAATATGCCCAAGACAGCAAGACAGGGATCAGAGCCCAGGTTTCTGGCTCTGAGTCCTGGATATTACTTGCTATTTTTTCCCCATGTGGATATTACTTGCTATTTTTATGTGGTATTGTGTAGCTTAAATTCATACAGGTGAGTATATTTGTTTGAACTTATATTTCCCTTCATTCATTGTACCATATACAATTTGATACAATTGAGCTTTTTTCTGTTTTTTTTTTTCTTTTTTTTTTTTGACAGGGTTTTGCTCTGTCACCCAGGCTGAAATGCAGTGGCAAGATCTTGGCTCACTGCAACCTCCAACTCCTGGGTTCAAGTGATTCTCCTGCCTCAGCATCCCGAGTAGCTTGGACTACAGGCACACACCACCATGCTCAGCTAATTTTTGTATTTTTTGGTGGAGACAGGGTTTTACCATGTTGCCCAGGCTGGTCCTGAACTCCTGACCTCAAGTGTTCTGCCCACCTCAGCTTCCCAGAGTACTGGGATTACAGGCGTGAGCCACTGCATGCCCGGCCCCCTGCTAATTTTTGTGTTTTTAGTAGAGACAAGGTTTTACCATGTTGACTAGGCTGGTCTCAAACTTCTGGCCTCAAATGATCCGCCTGCATCGGCATCCCAAAGTGCTGGGATTACAGGTGTGAGCCACAGTCCCTGGCCTGATACAATTGAACTTTATTGAGATTGCACTGGAGTCACTGTAGTAAGGGTATTAGGCTCCTTTTAGCCCAGAACCCATATGGCCACCCCTAGAAGTTTTAACTTAGTACATTTAGAAGCTAGCAAAGGATTTCTTAGAAAGACTTGTTAATATATAATACAAGCCATTTATTTTTTACTCTCATATCAGTAAGGAATGTTTATGTTGCAAGTATGTGAACCTGACTGGTTTAAGCATAAACACGTTTAATTATTTCACTTACAAATAGGTGAGCAGGGTTGGGCATGGTGGCTCATGTCTGTAATCCCAGCACTTTGGGAGGCTGAGGTGGGTGGATCACTTGAGGTCAGGAGTTTGAGACCAGCCTGGCCAATATGGTGAAACCCCATCTCTACTAAAAATACAAAAAGTAGCCGGGTGTGGTAGTGTATGCCTGTAGTTCCAGCTACTCGGGAGGCTGAGGCAGGAGAATCACTTGAACCTGGAAGGTTGAGGTTACAGTGAGCTGAGATTGCACCATTGCACTCCAGCCTGGGCGACAAAGTGAGACTCTGTCTGTATAAAACAAAACAAACAAAAGAACAAATAGGTCAGCAAAAGTGCAACAATGTCTTCAAAGTCCAAGATTGTTTCATTTCGTTTTTTGGGTTTGGTTTTTTGAGACAGGATATCACTCTGTCACCAAGACTGGAGTGCAGTGGCATGATCACACTGTGCCTGGCTAATTAAAAAAAAATTTTTTTTTGGTAGAGATGAGGTCTCTCTTTGCTGGTGAGGCTCAAGTGATCCTCCTGCCTCAGCCCCTCAAAGTGTTGGGATTACAGGCATGAGCTACCATGCCTGGCCAAAATCCAAGATTCTTTGTAAATTTCTGATCCAACATCCTCAGTATATTGGCATGCTGACTCATTGTCTCAAGATGGTTGCCACAACTAACATTATACTGAATGGGCAAAAGCTGGAAGCATTTCCCTTGAAAACTGGAACAAGAGAAGAATGCCCCATCTCACCACTCCTATTCTACATAGCACTGGAAGTCCTAGCTGGAGCAATCAGGCAAGAGAAAGAAATAAAAGGCATCTAAATAGGAAGACAGGAAGTCAAACTCTCCCTGTTTGTAGATGATATGACTCTGTACCTAGAAAACCCCACAGTCTCTGCGCAAAAGCTCCTTGATCTGATAAACAACTTCAGCAAAGCTTCAGGATACAAAATCAATGTACAAAAATCCATAGCAGTTCTATACACTAACAACATCCATGCTGAGAGCCAAATCAAGAACACAACCCCATTCACGGTAGCCACAAGAAAAATAAAATAGCTAGAAATACAGCTAAAGGAGGAGGTAAAAGATCTCTGCAATGAGAATTACAAAATACTGCTCAAAGAAATCAGAGACGACACAAACAAACGGAAAAACATTCTATGTTCATGGATAGGAAGACTCAATATTGTTAAAATGGCCATACTGCCCAAAGCAATTTACAGATTCAATGCTATTTCTATCGAATTACCAGTGATATTTTTCACAGAACTAGAAAAAACTATTTTAAGATTCATTTGGAACCAGAAAAGACCCCAAGTTAATCCTAACCGAAAAGAACAAAGCTGGAGACATCACGTTACCCAACTTCAAACTATACTATAGGGGGCTACGGTAACCAAAACAGCATGGTACCGAGTACAAAAACAGACACGTAGACCAATGGAAAGAATAGAGAGCCCAGAAATAAGGCTGCACACCTACAACTATGATCTTTGACAATGCTGACAAAAACAAGCAATGGGGAATGGACTTCCTATTCAATAAATGGTGCCAGGCGAATGGCTAGTCATATGCAGAAGATTGAAACTGGACCCCTTCCTTATAAGTAAAAATCAACCCAAAAAGTATTAAAGACTTGAATATAAAACCTAAAACTATAAAACCCTGGAGAATAACCTAGGAAATACCATTCTGGACATTGGATCTGGCAAATATTTCATGCCGAGGATGCCAAAAGCAATTGCAACAAAAACAAAAATTGATGAATGGGCCCTAATTAAATTAAAGAGCTTCTGCACAGCAAAAGAAACTATAAATATAGTAAATCGACAACCTATGGAATGGGGGAAAATATCTGCAAACTATGCATCTGACAATGGTCTAGTATCCGAACCTATAAGGAACATAAACAAATTTGCTAGTAAAACCCAAAGAACCCCAATAAAAAGTGGGCAAAGGACATGAACAGACACTTTTCAAAAGAAGACATACATGTGGCCAATAAGCATATGAAAAAATTCTAAACCTCACTAATCATTAGAGAAATGCAAATCAAAACCACAATGAGATACCATCTCACACAGGTCAGAATGGCTATTATTAAAACGTCAAAAAATAACAATGCTGGCGAGGTTGTGAAGAAAAGGGAATGCTTATACACTGCTGATAGGAATGTAAATTAGTTCAGCCATTGTGGAGAGAAGTTTGGCTATTTCTCAAAGAACTTAAAATAGAATTACCATTCAACCCAGCAATCCCATTACTGGGTATATACCCAAAGGAATATAAATCATCCTACTACAAAGATACATGCACGCATATGTTCATTGCAGCATTATTCATAATAACGAAGACATGGGATCAACCTAAATGCCCATTAGTGGTAGACTGGATAAAAAAAATGTGGTACATATACACCATGGAATACTATGCAGCCACAAAAAAGAATAAGATCGTGTCCTTTGCAGCAACATGGATAGAACTGGAGGCCATTAACCTACACAAACTAATATAGGGACAGAAAACCAAATACTGCATGTTCTGACTTATAAGTGGGAGCTAAACTTTCAGTACATATGGACATAAAGAAAGGAAGAACATCTCTGGGCCTACTTGAGGGCAGAGGGAGAGGATCAAAACAACTACCTATTGAGTACTATGCTAATATTATCAGTGTACCAGGGGTAATAATCATAGTAATGCAGATTATGGTAATACAGATTATTTTGCAACACACAATTTACCTATATAACAAACCTACACATGTACCCCTGAACCTAGAAAAAAGAAAAAAAAAAAGATGGTTGCTTTGTTCCTGGGTATCACATCTGTATTCAAGGCAACAAGGGCAATGGGTCAGAACTAGTGACCCCGTTTCCCAAGCTTTTTTTTTTTTCTTTTTTTTTTTTTTTTTGAGATGGAGTCTCCCTCTGTTGCTCAGGCTAGAGTGCAGTGGCACGATCTTGGTTCACTGCAACCTCTGCCTCCCAGGTTCAAATGATTCTCCTGCCTCAGCCTCCTGAGCAGCTGGGATTACAGGTGCAGGCCACCATGCCCAGCTAATTTTGAATTTTTTTAGAGACGGGGTTTCACCATGTTGGCCAGGTTGGTGTTAAACTCCTGACCTCAAGACCTCAAGTAATCTGCCCACCTTGGCCTCCCAAAGTGCTGGGATTACAGGAGTGAGCCACCGTGCCTCGCCCTGACCTTGTTTCCTTTTTATGAAGATAATAGATGTTTTTTTAGAAGCTTGTTCACTCCTTTTAGACTTCCACTTGCTTCTTATTGGTTAGATGTGTTCCATATGGGTATTCTTGTCTTAAAGGGGGCTGGAAAGAGTTACATAGCTTTTTTACGTCTATATTAGATGTCAGAAAAAGAAGTATGCTGGCCATAAGTATTGAGTTAGCTATGCTCCAATATAAGGTTTCCCAGGAATAAGCATATACAACAACTATGTAATTCTGTTTCGTTGCCTGGTCCGTCTTCCCTGATGGAGAAGTCAGAGGTAGGCTTCTCTCTCTGGTTAGACCCAAGAAATATACTGGCCTGTGGCAAATGTGTCCAAACTGAGGGACATGTCAATAGGCAGGGTGGGATCAAGACGTGGGTGAAAACGGGTCATCTAAAAGGGAGAAAGGGCTGGGTACAGTAAGCTCACGCCTATAATCCCAGCACTTTAGGAGGCGGAGGCGGGCGGATCACTTAAGGTCAGGAGTTCGAGACTAGCCTGGCCAATATGGTGAAACCCCGTCTCTACAAAAAATACAAAAAAATGAGCTAGGCTTGGTGGCTGACGCCTGTAATCCCAGCTACTCGGAAGCCTGAGGCAAGAGAATCGCTTGAACCCGGGAGGCAGAGGTTGCAGTGAGCCAAGATGGTGCCACTGCACTCCAGCCTGGGTGACATAACAAGACTCCATCTCAAAAAAAAAAAAAAAAAAAAAAAAAAAAAAAAAAAAAAAAAAAAAAAGCCGGGCATGGTGGCTCATGTACAAAACATACAAAAATTAGCCAGGCGGTAGTGGCGCATGCCTGTAATCCCAGCTGCTCCTGAGGCTGAGGCACGAGAATCACTTGAATCCAGGAGACGGAGGATGTGGTGAGGGGGATGGTGCCACTGCACTCCAGCCTGGCAACAAAGCGAGACTCCGTCTCAAAAAAAAAAAAAAAGCCGGGTACAGTGGCTTACACCTGTAATCCGAGCACTTTGGGAGGCCGAGGCAGGCGGATCGCGAGGTCAGGAGTTTAAGACTAGCCTGGCCGACATGGCGAAGCCCTGCCCCTACTAAAAATACAAAAATTAGCCGAGTGTAGTGGTGGGCGCCTGTAATCCCAGCTACTCCAGAGGCTGAGGCAGGATAATTGCTTGCACCTGGGAGACGGAGGTTGCATTGAACCAAGATTGTGCCATTGCACGATCTTGTTGCCTGGGCAACAAGAGGAAGACTCCGTCTCAAAAAACAAACAAACAAACAAACAACAGCAACAAAAACGAAAAAACCTATAAATTAAAAAAAAAAAAAAAAGAGAAAGGAAACTAAAGCAGTTAAGGTTATGGGCTGTGGACCAGATTGTTCTAAGCTTAAGTTCTGGCTCTGTCACTTCCTGACTAAGTGACTTCATCAAGTTATATAACCTTTCTAAGCCCCAGTTTCTTCATGAGTTAAGTGAGAATAATAATACCTTATTCATTAGGTTGCTGTGAGGAGCTATATTTATGAGTCACTGAGCATAGTCTCTGGGTCATAGTAAGTGTTCAATATTATCACCATCACCACCATCATCCTCACCATCACCATCATCATCATCATCCTCATCATTGTTATGGTCATCATCAAAACAGGAGGTGTTTGAAGTATAGGCATTAGAACTGATGTACAGCACAAATAAATACCAGAGCCTGAGGTATGAGAGTAGGTTATGTGGAAAAGCAAGACAATGAACAAGGAAATATATATTCTCCACAGTGATGGTGAGCTGCCTTTACTGAAAGGACTTCCTACTACCAGAGTATGAGTGACTCACATGCAGGGGGTGTATTTTAAGCCTTACTTTAAGGCTTAAACTTACCTTCTAGAAGGTGGCATACAGTATAGGACACCACAGTATGGCTATGGATGATGGAGGAGAGAAATGCTGGTAATGGGGCTCCAAGGAGTGGGGTGGGATTCTTTTGGTCATGCATCTTCTGCTAGGAGTCCAACAGGTCTATGAGAACCATTGCTCACAGAAGCCATAGAGCATTAGCTTCTCCCTTTGAACTTCTGTGACCTGCTTTGATTGTGTTTGTGTGTTCTATGAGTCACTGGGGATGCCCATTTGCAGTGCCCATTTATATAGCAGTAGCTTTAGATAGGGTGGGTATTTGGACTGACTGGCATGTAGCATAGTTCACAGGCCTGTGTGAATTTACGTTCATCAGTGGCTGGAATTTAAGTTCTTGTAAAGATGCAAAATTTAAGTAGTTTTGACCCTCCTCTAGGGCTGGACAACATCTGACTACCAAAAAGATGGTATTTATCTGTATCAACAATTGTGAGTAGTTAGTTATATGGCTTCTGTCCCTCCCAGAAAAGACCTGATATGAATGGTAAATCAAACACATATGCTAGACACTGTTACTTATGTTAACTAACTTAATTTGCAAAACAAGCCTTGTGAGGTAGGTGGAATGATTCTCCCTATTTTTACAGATGAGGTAACTGAGATCAAGAAACTTACAAGTTCATAAAGATGTCTGTTGTGTTGGAAAGGAGATGTGGCTAGGTCTAAACTTGTGCCTCTTGACTTATGCTAAGGCCTGTGAGTTCAGATAGGCTAGAAAAATTGGTCTGTGGTTGTTCTTAGCTTGTTTCAGTCTAACTTTTGCATCAAGAAGTGGAGTTTAATGCAGCATGGAACCAGACTCTTCCTTCTATGATAGAGACAGGAAAAGAAGACGAACCCCTGTCTGGGCTTTTCCTGACACGCATTAGCCAATGACTTGTGCAAGGCTCCTCTTTGCCCTAAAAACACACACACGACAAAGTAACTGGCAGATGGGTGGATCTCCCCTCCAGTTTGTAGGGTGTCAATTTTTAGAAATTCAACCTTGACGGAAAGATTTGAAGCGAGGGGATATTGTTGAGCAAAAAGTTAGGAAGATTGAACCAGATCTTGTGAAGGATAATTGGAGAATGGTGGAGGAGGAAATCCCCAGCATTGGCAAAGATATGGAAGCAGAAAAGAAACTTACAGGGCATCAACAATGAGCAATTCAATTTGACTGGAATATAAGGCGTTCAAAGTGAAAGTTGTGGAAGTAAGAGGGGTGGGTATATAGAATATGGAAGACTTTAAATACCAGGCCCAGGAGTATGAATTCTACTCAGTAGGCAATGAGGAGCCTATTAAATAAAATCTAAGCAAAAATTGGAGCCCTGAAGGAGAGGACAACTTTTATTTTATTTTATTTTTTGAGATAGAGTCCCACTCTGTCACCCAGGCTGGAGTGCATTGGCACAATCGTGGCTCACTGTAGACTCGATCTCCTGGGCTCAAGCAATCCTCCCACCTCAGCTTCCCAAGTACCTGGGATCACAGGGTGCACCACTATGCCTGGCTAATTTTTATTTTTTATTTTTGTAAAGATGAGGTATCCCTGTGTTGCCCAGGCTAGTTTTGAACTCCTGGGCTTAAGTGATCCTCTCTCCTTGGCCTCCCAAAGTGCTGGGATTATAGGTGTGAGCTACTGTGACTGGCTGAGGACAACTTTTATTTCACTTACACACACCTCCATATAAAGTCAACTGGAGCTATTTATAACTGCATGACTTGTGATTGCCCACTGAAGACTGTGGCAGGGTATTTTATCCCCATTATTTTCTTACTGACCACCGCTATGTATCTGAAAGTAAGACCAAGGCAAAGAACTGTTAGGTACAACATAAATGAGTGGAGTTTATGTTTGCCAACTCTGAGGTCAGTTGGTTCATTTAACAAACATTTTTGAGCACCTTTTTAGGTACAGTAGATATAGCCATTAATGAATACAGTTTTAGGGGAAACGTTGGTTCTTGACTTTTATCTACTGTATATCTTTTTTCTTATTTTTTTTTTGAGACAGAGTCTCACTCTTGTCACCCAGGCTGGAATGCAGTGGTGCGATCTTGGCTTACTGCAGCCTTCGCCTCCGGGGTTCAAGTGATTCTCCTGCCTCAGCCTCCTGAGTAGTTGGGACTACAGGCGTGTACCACCACGCCTGGCTAATTTTTGTATTTTTAGTAGAGATGGGGTTTCGCCATGTTAGCCAGGCTGGTCTCGACCTCAAGTGATCTACCTGCCTTGGCCTCCCAAAGCGCTGGGATTACAGGCGTGAGCCACCTCTCCTAGCCTTATTTTTAGATACAGGGTCTCAGTCTGTTGCCCAGGCTGGAGTGCAGTGGCGTGCTTATAGCTCACTACAGCTTCAAACTCCTGGGTTCCAGTGAGTCTCCTTTCTCAGTCTCCCAAGTAGCTTGGACTATAAGTGTGTGCCACTGCACTCAACTTCTATTGCATCGCTTATTGCCTCAATGTGTAACTTTTTGGATTTGATGCCTTTATAGTGCTCCTTATAAAGCCCCTGGTCTGAGCCGTCATTATCTCTTGCCTAACTCTTTTCATAACCTCTTAACTGGGCTTGTGGCTTTTATTCTTGAGACTATCCACACACAGAAGCCAGAACAATGTCATGAGAGCAGAAATCTGATCTCATCCCTCATCTTCATAAAACCCTTCCATGGCTTCCATTACACTTAGATTAAAATCCAAATGTCTCTGCACCCCCACAATGTCCTGTGTGTTCCCAGCCCCGTCAAGACCTCTGATCTTACTTCCTACCTCTCTCCTCGATTCACAATGCTCCATCCTCACTGGCTCCTGGATATTCCTTGAACACTCAGTGGATTCCTGCCCCTGGACCTTTACTCTTGCTGTTTCCTCTACTTGGAATGTTCTCCTACCAGATTCCAGCATGGCTGTGCCCTCCCCCACCCAATGCCACTCAGATCCCTGCTCAAATGTCAGCTCTTCCAGAGCCACCCTCCAACTAGCTGTCTTGACAGCACTCTACTACCTGAAATTAAACTTTTAATGATTTATTTGCTTTTTGTTTTCTTCTTGAGACAGAGTCTTGCTCTATTGCCCAGGCTGGAGTGCAGTGGTGTGATCGTGGCTCACTGTAGCCTCAACCTCCTGGGTTCCGGTGATCCTCTCACCTCAGCCTCCTGAGTAGCTGGAACTACAGGCACATGCCGCCATGTCTAGCTAGTGGTTTTTTTTTTTTTTTTTTTTTTGGTAGAGAAGGGATTTTGCTGTGTTGCATAGGCTGGTGTCTTGTTTATTTTGTGTATTGCTCATTAAAATGTAAGTTCTGTAAAGGGTATTTTGCCTACTTGTTCATTGTGCTATCTCCAGCACCTAGAACACACCTGGACAATAGCACGCAATAGGTATCCCTGAATGAATGATGACTATTACTGGGACTTCCTTTACAACTTGGAAAGAAAGTGGTTTCATTATTCAAAAAAATGTAGTATCTACCTATACTTGTGTTCCTCATTTATCGCATCTCCACATTTGCCCCTTATGACTTTTGCAATTCCCAAATAAATGACATCCATTGTAGGCATATTAATGGCAGTCTGCAAGTAGCAAAGTTCATTTCTGATTTGAATTCTTTTGGCTGCTGTGAATAGTTTTTCTCTGGTTGTTAGTAATTAAAACAAACAAGCAGAAAGACTTATATTATTCTATCTCATTGCCAAATTGGATATTGCTCAACTCAAAATTGAATGTACACACACCCATAAAACTAGCCAAACGGGCTATTACAATTACATAAAGTTCCTTGTGTTCATTAGCAGTGTTGCCTTTCATGGGTTTATCCTGTTTGGCATATACATCAAAGTAACAGTCATAAAGACTTCTACAAAAATTTGGAGCATGTAGATGTGGAAAAATTTTTAAGATTTTTTTTGTTTTTTTTTTCCAGCTACATTGCAACAAAAGCATACCTTGTTATCATGATAAAAAGCTTAAGGCACGACAGAGAAAAAATTCAGTATTTTGTCAAAGCTTGGTAATCTAAGCCCACGGCCAGAGTCACCTAAAAATGGCAGATATGATTCAGTTTTGTATTCTGCATTTTGGGAATTAGTGTCAGAATACCAGCCCTGATCTCTTTAGTGAATGATTCATTTACTAACGTGATTAACAATTCTGAGAGCCAGCCATGTTGGCCACTAATATCAGATTTTTAGAAGCTGCCTAGGTTTAATGGAATTGTGGGTATGTTGAATTGGGGTGGGAGGTCCTAAATCTGCTGTTCTGATTTGTAGTGGTTTTATTTGAACCCAGAGAATGAGCTTCTTATGATTTCCAAAGCAGCATATTTTCTCATGGGTGGTTCCTATTCATGAGAAAAATAAAATAATAACAGATAGTGGTTTGGGGAGTGTGTTGAGTAAAAAAAAAAAAAAAAAAAAAAAAAAAAAATTAGCTTCAGTTCATTGATCCAAAGGCATAGCTCTGTACCTTTTTGAATATAAGGAATTCAGAAAAATGGGGGCAGAAGGTCAGATTGAGTTTGTTATATTATTATTTGTTTACATGTCTGTGTCTTTCTTTTGTGTGTGTGGCAGGTGGGGGAGGGTTTCCAGTAAATATTGGAAAACCTGCTAGACAAATTTTAAAAGACCTGTAATAAGTATGTGTTTGTTTCTTTAAAAAAACTTTTTTTTTTTTTTTTTTTTTTTTTTTTTTTTTGTCCCCTGTAGAGACAGGATCTCACTATGTTTCCCAGGCTGGTCTTGAACTCCTGGCCTCAAGCAATCCACCTGTCTCAGCCTCCCAAAGTGCTGGGATTAGAGCATGTGTGTGTGTGTCTAAGAGTAGACTATGAGCTTCTTGGTGGCAGAACCTTATTCATGTTTCTTTCCCATTGTCTGGCATGGCACTGTGTGTAGCTTAGTAACAATGATGGTTGTGATGATGCTGATAATGGCCTCTATTACTCAGCTTCCTGTATGCCAGGCACTATGCTAACTGCTTTGCATACATTACCTTATTTAATTCTCATAACAATCCAGGTGGAAAGTAACAAACAGTATATTATGTCCATATGTTGTGAGGAAACTGAGGCTTAAAGATATTCATGGACATGACCATGGTCACACAGCTAGTGAAGTGTTGGACCTGGAATCTAAAACCATTTCTGTTCTTTGTCCCAAGCCCATGTTGTTTATTACTATGCTCTATATTTGTTGCCTGAATTAATGACAGAGTGGTTAACCAAGGTCCCCTGTCCTACCCAGGCCCTGTGACTCAGTAAAGAGTTAAAATGTGACAAACAGAACTGGACAATGGTGATGTCCTAGAATGAACCAGTTTTATTCACCAGTAGAAGAGAAACTTTCAGTGTGGGTAATAAGAGATTGAGGGACGACCTGTGTCAATGGATAGCTCCAAATGAGAGGAGTGCAGTGGGTTTAAGAGAAAGAGGGGAGAAAAGAAAGTACCATAAAAGGGAAACTTAAACAAAGAGCAAAGTAGAAAAAAAAATTCTTTTGAGAGGAGGTCATTTTTCATTCCCAGAAACTTCCAAAGTGATGCTTTTAACCCCACATCTGGTTCAGATTCCTGCTCGAATGCTCAGAGGTAGAACAACAAAGCAAGTGGAAAGGTTTGGGCACGCCTCTGTCCGTGGAGCTGCCCTCCCTGCGCCCTTCCCCCTGAGGAATATCTGCTTTGGAAGCAAATGATGGAAAGTTTTGTCCAGGTTGCCTTCCCTCACTTTTGCGCGTGGGTGTGAGTTTGTGTACCCGATTCTACTGTGAGGAGTTCAGGTTGCTTTACCTGCTGTTGCGTCTTAACAGGGTGAGACATGTGCCTGTGGTTACAGGCCTGTCCCAGGAGAACTTGTCCTACTGGATATGGAAATCATTCAAGCAAAGTGGGAGGCTAGGTTGTCTTATTTTCGTGCCGATACTTGGGTTGCTTTGCTGAACTGAAGCATGAGAGAGAGATGGGATGAGAAGCAAACCATTTGCATGTATCATTCCTCCTGCAGTTCTGGAGCTGTTAGCCAAAAGTGCCATTTTCACAGACAAAAGGCAGGAAAAAGAAATGTCCCCCATCAAAAAAAATCACAGGTTTTCCCAGTTTTTACTGTCTTCCTAGCTCTGGGTCTCACAAATCTAATGGCTCTCAAGCTTTTCAAAGTGATTCTTTTCAGATTTTCTTCTTTCATCCTTGAGTCTCTATTAGAACTGTCCTCTGACTCCATTTGACTGATAACTTTTGATAAACTGACTGGAGCCTCCGTATTGGCTTGCTACAGATTTGCTATAAGAAAAGGTAACTCGCTTTCATAAGGCCAATATCAGCATCCACTAATGCAAGGCGTTTTTCCTCTAATGTGATTACATAAGAATTAATGATGGGTAAACACCAATGTGAAGAGATTTAATTTGGATAAACATTATGAAGCTTGTCTGCTTAATCAGGGTTTATCTCATCTTTTCTGTTTTTTTTCTTTCTTTTCTTTGTGCTGCAAATTTTCCAAGAACAGGGACCAGTGTACTATTCTGCCTACTTCCTTGAACAGGGCAGACAGGAACATTGTGAGACCCAGCATTCTTGTGATACTTTAATAACTTCCACTTCCGGGGAAACAAAAGAGGATACAGATGCATGCAAATGCAAAACCGAGCAAGATACCAGCTGAGCTGACTTAACACCCTCCCTCCCACCTCCTAGCCATGAAGGTGCTAGTGGGGAGAAGCAGTTCTTTGGAGGAGTTGAGGTATTTCTCCTCTCAATCTTGGGTTGCTCTTGACTAGCATGTAGCAGAGGACCTGTGACAGCTTTTTGCTTTGAGAGCTTTTACCCAGAGGATAGCCTTATTTACCACCCCTTCCCCTCAACTCACAGGCTTTTCTTTCTTTCTTTTTTTTTTTTTAGACAGAGTCTTGCTCTGTCGCCCAGGCTGGAGTGTAGTGGCATGATCCCGGTTCACTGCAACCTTCGCCTCCCAGGTTCAAGTGATTCTCCTGCCTCAGCCTCCCGAGTAGCTGGGACTATAGGTGCGTGCCACCACGCCTGGCAAATTTTTGTATTTTTAGTAGAGACGGGGTTTTACCATGTCGGCCAGGCTGGTCTCAAACTCCTGACCTCAGGTCATCCACCCACCTTGGCCTCCCAAAGTGCTGGGATTACAGGTGAGAGCCACCGCACTGGGCCTCACAGGCCTTTCTGAATCCAGTTTTTATTTCCTGAAATGCATACGGGTCAAAAATAATCCATATCAAATGCATATTAATTTATAGGTATCTTTTTCAAGGAGGATGATTAGCAAGGAAATAATCATCGTTTCCACTCTCCCAATGTGATTATTTGTTTCTATGACAGAATCTAATTTCTCACATCTCTCCTTGTTTACTGATTGACAATCTATAGTCCTAGACTTCATTTCTGCATTTTACGTTTCTGCACCTGTGAAAAGGGCTTGAAGGCGAAAGATGAGCATCTTTAGAGACAATGGGCTTGGGGGAAAGAAAATGGCTTGGTACAGGTTGTTATTTTTTGTTCGCTAACTGGAGTGAATGCTTTTTAAACAGTATCTTCCCCATTGGGACAATTGGAAGAACAGTGACATTCATTTTATAGTTTTTGCTTGTTGGGTACTTATTCCTTTCGAAAAGAAAGGAAATTCCATACTCCAGGAGTCCATCTGTTGTTACATTTCATGAGAAATAAATGCACTGGAAAATATAGCTAAACACACTTGGTTCACATTTTCTCCACCTTTGAACTGATACCAGTCATAAAACTCCATCTTGTATAGACAATCTGTTAAAATAAGTTACTAAGAAACCCAAACAGGTATAAAGGTCGCTCTCAGTGTGAATGGTTTTTTTTTTTTTTTTTTTTTTTTTTGCAGTGGTTATGACCAACCCAAAACTCACTCTGAGTTGGCTTTTATAGTCGATATTTTAAACTGTAAACCATGTTATATGACTGTAGAGCCGCACCCAGTAAAGTCAATTTTCCTGTTTTGGAACTCTCGTGCGATGCAGCACATAATCCCTGTTCATTTGTCATGTTCTCACCTTGTTCAGGGCCTCAGAGTTTATGAGCAGGTTACTCCACTGCATTTTAAACATGTCATCTCTCCCAAGGTGTCTTTTAAGAAATACTTATGCAATCAAAAGGAAGCCAAATATGTCCTTAGTATAAGAGACAGAGGATGTTGTTAATGAACTGGAAGGAATTCTACTTCTGGAAAGTCTGAGGAAAAGTTATCAAATTATAGGAATGGCATCTAGATTTGAGGGCAAAAACAGGTACATTAAAGGGCAGAGACTGCTCTTTTCTCTCTCTACCATTTTCTAAGCATCTATTATTTACCAGGCATTTTGTGAAGCATTTCACTTACATGTTCTCGTTGAATACTTGGTGAGTCTCTGTGAAATATCAAGAAAATGGCTTAAGAAAGGTGAATGGCTTGCTCAAGTTCACACAGCGAGGAATTTGCTGACAGAATTCCAGAGTGTGGTTTAGCCCCAACACGGCCTTCATCCCGGGCCACCTACTGGATGGAGACCTCCTTGCCGTGGCTTCCTACATCCCTGCTCCCATGACTTTACTGTTGCAAGGGTAGAAGAACAGATGTATCTTTTTGGATTTGGCCTGACTTTTCAAAGATAAGATAAAGAAGAGCTGGTAATAAGGCTGAGAATTGACACGTTCTTGGTTGGCTCAGCTGAACTGAAGAGCTTCTGTTCTCATCTGGATAGACAGGAAATAATGTGTGACATACAGACAGCTTGTTTTTCTCTAAATTTGAGCAATGGTGAGTCATTACTTTTATTAAAGTTAGAGATGATCCTTTCTTTTTCTGTGCAGGAAAATCTATTGTTTTTCACACAACCCACTCCTACTTTTAAATAAATCAGTTAAATTGCCTATATTTTAAATAAAACTTTTTCAAACTCCTTTACCTACCAGCCTAGAGGCAGGAATATTTCTTTTCTCTTTCAGCCTTGCCTAAGGAAAAATGCTTCTTTTTTTTTTTTTTTTTTTTTTGAGACAGAGTTTCACTCTGTATCCCAGGCTGGAGTGCAGTGGAACGATCTTGGCTCACTGCAACCTCTGCCTCCCGGGTTCAAGCGGTTCTCCTGCCTTAGACTTCGGAGTAGCTAAGATTACAAGTGTGCACCACAGGTTTCACCATGTTGGCCAGGCTGGTCTTGAACTCCTGACCGCAAGTGATCCACCCGCCTCAGCCTCCCGAAGTGCTGGGATTACAGGCATGAGCCACCGCACCTGGCCTTCTGCAGTTTTCTAGGCCTGGTTAGAGAGGACAAAATAAATCCTGGGAAGACCTCCAGCTGGCCACTAGCAAGAGGTGGGAGGAGGATACACTTCCTTCCTTTTTTTCCTACTTTCCGCATCTTAATGCCAGGCATGAGCCTTTCTTAGCACTGCTGTTGCTAAGAGAATAAGTAGCTGAATAAAGTGGCACATGTTATAAGGACAAAATAGCTAAAATGAAGACCCTAAAGAGCAGCCTCAGTCTCAACACTATTGACATTTGGGCTGGATATTTTTTGTTGTGGGGGATAGGAACTGTTCTGTGCATTGTAGGATGTTTAGCAGCACCCTGACTGAGTACCCACTAGATGACAGTAGCAACACCACCCCCTAATCCTACCAGTACCCCGAGTTGGGAAAACCAAAAACATCTCCAGACATTGATTGCCCAGTGCCCCGTGGGGGGCAAAATCATCTCCAGTTGAGACCTACCACTTTATAGTAGATAGCATGACCTAGTAACATGCATGGTTTCTTTATGCCTGGAAACTTGCTGGGCCAGGGCGAAGATTTATGACCTGAGAAAAGGCAACCACAGCAGGTGTGGAGCTTGAAAAAGGATGGTGTCTCTGCCCTGAAAGGACCTCAGGGTCAGAAATATGTCTGTTCATCTTTGAATCCTCTCCCCAGGGCCTAGCACAGTTCCTCAAATGTAGGAAATGGTTGATAAATGTTTGTTGAATAAATGGGATGTTTGCTTAGAGCCCCCTGAGTCTATCTCCTGTGCTCAGAGAAAAAAATCTTACGGACAACAGCTATTTATTTGTAGCTGTACCCACTTATTGGCTTATTGTGTTCATTTGAGGGCCTCTTGAATATTGCAGAAGTAACCAAGGATACCAGGATGATCACATGCAGCAAACATATGGGGAAAAGAATAGAACAACAAATGTCACAAGGCCTGTTTTTCAGGTTTATTGCCAGAGAGTGAAGGGTTTTGAAGAGAGAGTGCATAGAAGGAATAGGACAGGAGCCGTCCTTATACTGAAGATAATTTATAGTCCTCATCTGTGAAAATTATTCACTGGACAACCTCTCTTGCCCTTGAACTTTGCATCTTGTCTTAACCAGGGGTTTATGTATCTTCCTTCCCGGGGAGCAGGTCAGCATTGCTGAGTCCTGAATTGTGGAACTTCTGCTTCCTTAGAAAGACTTGTGAGGAGTAAGGGGAGTGAGGAGCAAGGGGAGACATTGGTGAGTCCAGGATGGGAGGTGAGCTTGGTATGGCAAAGACATAAGCATCCAATCTCTGTCTGACCAAGTGATGACAAAGTAAAGGATGAAAGCAGCCAGCTCAGTTTTCCTCCCCTCAGGACTCTTTTATTTCCCTTTTCCTTCATATCTTTTGTTTTTGAGTAACACAGTATTTTGTATTCAACATAGTCTTCATGACTAACCACTAGTCTTAAAACTTCCAGGGTGAGGATTTGAGGGAACTTCTCTTTGGAAGACCTTTATACCAAAGGCCTCTGATTGAGTATCCTCCACTGTAGGCAGCTTTTACTGATTCCTCCAGAGTGGGCCAGGGCAGGCACACCTTTTCATCTCTTCCATGATACTCCGTCAAATCAGTATCTCCTGTATTCCAGACTCATGTACTCAAGTGCCTAGTTGATATTTCTACTTGGGTATCTTGGAGACATCTCAAACATAACATATCCCAAGATGAATGACTTCCTGCTTCTTCTCAAAACCTGCCTGTTTAAAGGCAATTCTATCCTTCCAGTGGCTCAGATCAAAACCCTGGAGTCATTCTTGACTCCTCCTTTTGTCTCACACCCCATTATCTCTCCCCAACAAATCTTGTTGGCTTTACTTTCAAAGCATATCTAGGATCTTAGCATTTCTCATCATCTGCATTGTTGCCATTCTGGTCTGAGCTACCAGAAATTCAACACAGTAGCCAGGGTGACATTTTGAAATTGTAGGTCAGATCTTGTTACTCTTTTGCCTCCAATATCTCCTTATCTCATAGTAAAAAACAAATTCTTCACATGGTTTTACAACAATCCCCTGACTCCCTTAACTTTCATACTTATCTCCTGCCATTCTCTTCATCAGTTCCTCAGCAGCTCACCTCCTTCTTGCTGTATCTTAAGCACATGCCTATTCCTGTGCCTAAACTTCTTCCCCCAGATATCCATGTTGTGACATTTGGCTCTTTCAAATCTTTGCTGAAATATCACCTGGCAATGAGATCTCCCCTGATTATGCTACTTAAAACTACAATCTGTTTTCCATATCTCCCTCTTATCCTTTAGTAGTTTTAAAAAATTGCACTTATTAACCTCTAATACTATATCATTAATTTATTCACTACATTAAAAGAAATCTCTCTTGCTAGAATGGAAACTTCACAAGGGCAGGGATCTTTGTTTATCCCAAGCACCTAAAAGAATGTCTTGTACGTAGTGTGTGTGCATAAATATTTGAGGATGAACCAATATATCTTTCTAAGCACGTATTAGCTATTTACTCAGTCTGTCTTCCTGCCTAGACTGTAAGCCCCGTGGGAAAAATGGTACACAGAATGCATTGCATTGCAGTGGTTAATGCTATTCTTTTCCTTGAAGTGTATTCCTCAAATTGTATGAGTTTCATGCTCCACAAAAACTGCCCTGCCCCTGATTTACTATGAGAATTAGTACGAAAATGAAAAAGATAATACATTTTAAAACTTAGAAAAGCATCTGGCACTTTAAGGATAAAGACTGTGTTCTATTTGACATGCCTCCCCTCTCCCATTGTATTTAGCTCAGTGGCTGGAACAGAGTAGAAGGCAAAAAAAAATCTTTGCTAATAAACACATCAACTGAATGAATGAATGAATGAATGAATGAATATATTTCCGTGTGCTAATTCGACAATCTGTTTA
The DNA here is from genome assembly GCF_000001405.40 of Homo sapiens. Classification (NCBI taxonomy): domain Eukaryota; kingdom Metazoa; phylum Chordata; class Mammalia; order Primates; family Hominidae; genus Homo; species Homo sapiens. Next base: position 73,175,691 of record NC_000013.11, read on the forward strand.
AGTTTTGACTTACTTTTTTTTTTTTTTTTAAACAGATTTTCCCTCTTGTCACCCAGGCTGGAGGGCGGTGGCATGATCTCGGCTCACTGCAACCTCCACCTCCTGGGTTCAAGCAATTCTCCTGCCTCAGCCTCCTGAGTAGCTGGGATTACAGGCATGTGCCACAACACCCGGCTAATTTTTTGTATTTTTAGTAGAGGTGGGGTTTCACCGTGTTACCCAGGATTGTCTCGATCTCCTGATCTCGTGATCTGCCCACCTCAGCCTCCCAAAGTGCTGGGATTATAGGCATGAGCCACCGCGCCTGGCCAAGTTTTGACTTCTAAGTGCCACGTTTCTCCCTTTTTAAAATTAGGTATCTATGGGCTGGGTGTGGTGGCTCACGCCTATAATACCAGCACTTTGGGAGGCCGAGGCAGGTGGATCACTTGAGGTCAGGAGTTCGAGACCAGCTGGCTAACATGGTAAAACTCCATTTCTACTAAAAATACAAAAATTAGTTGAGCATGGTGGTATGTGCCTGTAGTCCCAGAACCTTGGGAGGCTGAGGCAGGAGAATTGCTTGAACCGGGGAGGCCACAGAGGCTGCAGTAAGCCGAGATTGTGCCACTGTGTTCCAGCCTGGGTGACAGAGCAAGACTCCATCTCAAAAATAAAACAAAATAAAATAAAATAAGGTATCTACATTTAGGGGTTTGTCAAAAGATTCATATAAAAAATATCCACGTATGGATTTGCTTGCATTTTATTATGTACCTATCAAGATTGTATCAGAAAGACAGCCGGGTACGTGGGGCATGCCTGTAGTCCCAGCTACTTGGAAGGCTGAAGCAGGAGGATTGCTTGAGCCCAGGAGTTAGAATCTGTACCGTGTAGTGATTGTGTCTGTGAATAGCCACTGCACTCCAGCCTGGGTAACAGAGTGAGATTCTGCCTCAAAAAATAAAAAATAATAAAAAAAATTGTATCAGAAATCAGACTGACATGGTATTCATTACATTTTTAATCTGTGAATAAGACTGAAGTTCAGAATCGTCTGTTATTGTCTCAGCGGTCCTTAACATTATGTGGCGCTAAAATACATGCTGAACATAAACACATGATGAATGGCGATGAGGTTGAAATGAGCCTTTTTAAAAATGGCCCCTTTCTTTGTTATGTGCCTATGTTAACGTTATTTGCATTTTTCTAATGTTCCTGCCTTCAGCCTTATCTTTCCCATTGTAATGATTTTTTGTACCTATGATGTTTATATTTAACACACTAGCTAGATAGATATATTTTAAATATCTACCTGTGATGGTTGTTTTTTTACAGAGGAAAGCAAACTCTCTGAAGTAAATTTCATAGAAAGAAGTAGTTGTTGCCTAGGCTGGTCTTGAACCCCTGGGCTCAAGTGATTCTCTGGCCTTGACCTTCCAAAGTGCTGGATTTACAGGCATGAACCACTCCACCGGTCCTGGCTAGTTTCTTCTGTAAAATGAAACATGTCATGGCTTGATTGAATTTTAGATCAGCATGTGAAAACTCAGTGACCTGACAGACAACTGGGGAATGCTTCAAAAAAACAGCTCTTGTTAATAATGTTCACAGTGATGTCCTTTAAAGGAAATATGTCACTTGTATTATACACTGAAAGTGCTTTCAAATGAAAGTCAGTTTTGCATGTAACCTTAAGGAGAACACAACTTAATTCATGACAAATAGCTCAGTCAGTAGGAGGATGGAGCAGGTGAGGTCACATACGGGCCAGTCAACTTTATTCTATGGCCTGGCATGACAGCCCTGATCCAGGCCAACCAGGAAAATGAATATGATCAGTGGAAATCCATCACTCTACTAGAAAAACAAATCAAATACAAGCTTTAGTGAAGTTTAGTAAAAGTTTAGTAAAGTTTTTTCTTTTTTCTTTTTTTTTGAGATGGAGTCTTGCTCTGTTGCCAGGCTGGAGTGCAGTGGCATGATCTCGGCTCACTGCAACCTCCGCCTCCCGGTTCAAGTGATTCTCCTGCCTCAGCCTCCTGAGCAGCTGGGATTACAGGTGTCCACCACCATGCCTGGCTAATTTTTGTATTTTTAGTAGAGAAGGGGTTACACCAAGTTGGCCAGGATGGTCTCGAACTTTTGACCTTGTGATCAGCCCTCCTCAGCCTCCCAAAGTGTTGGGATTACAGGCGTGAGCCACCACGCTCGGCCTTGGTTTAGTTTTATCAAGGTCAGATAAGTAGATTTAATGGATTGTAACTACAAGCGTGATAAATTTCAACAAAATGTCATGGGCATGATTCTTAAACTTCAGGTACTATACCATTTCAGGGTACAAGGCTAGTAGTATTGACAAACTAAGGTTAGAATTGTTCTAAAATCGGCCCCTCCCTTGTTCTAGGCCTAACTGGTCAGTCTTTTGGGTGGAGGCCAAAGTGTCTGTGTGTGTGTGTGTGTGTGTGTGTGTTTGTGTATGCACATATGTATGTGTGTAGTTCCTGAAGTCTCCTATTAATGGTATCAGGAAATAGCAAATATGAGAATTGCATCCAATAAAGAATTTCACGGTTGTGCTAATGTAGTATTGTTGTGGGTTGAATTTGTGTCCCTCAAAAAGTTATGTTTATTGGCAGTTTCCAGACAGGGGGAATAAAGTATGTTTAATTTTTAACTTCTAGTACCTGTGACTGTGACCTTACTTGGAAATAAGGCTGAGAAGATGTAATCAAGTTAAAATGAGATCATATTGGAGGCCAGGCACAGTGGCTCACCCCTGTAATCCTAGCACTTTGTGAGGCTGAGGTGGGAGGATTGCTTAAGCTCAGGAGTCCAAGACTAGTCTGGACAACATAGTGAGAACCTGTCTCTAAAAAATATGAAAAAAGCAAAAACAAAAACAAAAACAAAAACCCAGAGATTGTACTGGAGTACAGTCAGCCCTAAATCCAATATGACTGGTGTCCTTTTGAGGAAAAGAGACCTTAGGCACACATAGAGAGAATATCATGTGATGAGGTGTATGCATCCACCTCTGCCACACACACACAGGAGGCAGCCACTTGATTACGGATAATGCTACAGCTGTAAGCCAAGGAATACCATGGTTTGCTGGTAACCACCAGAAATTAGGAAGAGGCCAAAGAAGATTCTCCCCTGGAGCCTTCGTAGAAAGCATGACCCTGCAGACACCACACATGTGGCTGTCTAGCCTCCAGAACTGTGAAAGAATACATGTCTGTTGTTTAAAGTGACCTAGTTGGTGCTGCTTATAATTATTATTTTTTGAAACAGGGTCTTACTCTGTCACCCAGACTGGAGTGCAGTGGTGCAATTGTGGCTCACCGCACTGTTGACCTCCCAGGCTTGATCCTCCTGCTTCAGCCTCCTGAGTAGCTGGGACTACCAGTACATGCCACTACGTCTGGCTGATTTTTTATTTTTATTTTTTGTAGAGATGGGGTCTCACTACGTTGCCCAGACTGGTCTTGGACTCCTGGGCTCAAGCCATCAGCCCACCTTGGCCTCCCAATGTGCTGGGATTACAGGCATGAGCCATAGCGCCAGGTCTCTGTGCTCCTTTGCTATGGCAGCCCTAGGAAATGAATGCAAGTATCATGTCCCAGTGAGGCGCTTTGAGTCAGAATAGGAAAATGGGAAATTGTCAGCGTGAATCCTGAAATGCAAACTAATGAGAATTTTATTTTTATTTTTATTTTTTTTTTAATTTTCTCTGAGTTTGCAGGATGGATCTGCCTAACACACTTGTAAAAACCTTCTGAATGGGGAGGAAGATCACTGATCCCTGTTCTGGCTCGTCACTCTCCCAGGGGACCATTTCTGCATATGATGTTATTAGGTAGAGCATGGGCGTACTTGCAGAGGGTGGGGGTGGGGAATTGTCGCAGAAGTCTTGGCCACATAGGTGTAGTTGGGAGTGATAACAATGCATTGTGCAGTGGATTGATTGACTAAAGAAAGAAGGCTTACTGGCTATTGATCTCTGTAATCTGAAGAGATTGTCTCACTTTTGGCAGGGATGAGTGGTGTATATATCAGAAAGAGAGCCAAATGGTCTCTTCCACTAAGATGCATGTTTTTTTTTTTTTTTTTTTTTTTTTTTTTCTGGGACTTTAGAACCAGTTGCCATGCTTATCATGCCACCTTTTGATGAAGTGCTGTTGCAGCTCAGGGTTTCTGGAAACAGCCACTGAGATGTGCAAGATGTTTATCGGGAATTCACACTTGAGAAAGAATAGTGGAAAAAACCAGAAATGGGCAGAGGAAGAGATCAAACTACAGTTATGCCCTGCATAATGACATTTTGGTTAACATTGGACTGCATATGCAATGGTGGTCCCGTAAGGTTATAATGAAGCTAAAAGAGTCCTATTACCTAGTGACGCTGTAGCCATTCCAATGTCGTAGAGTAACGCATTACTCATGTGTTTGTGCTGATGCTGATATAAACAAACCTACTGCTCTGCCAGGCACGTAAAAGTATAGCACACAAAATTATGTACAGTACATAATACTTGATAATTATAGATAAATGACTATGTTACTGGTTTATATATTTACTATATTATGTTTTTTATTATTATTTTAGAATGTACTCCTTCTACTTTTTTAAAAAAAAAAGTTAACTATAAAACAGCCTCTGACTGGTCTTTCAGGAGGTATTCCAGAAGAAGGCTTTGCCATTATAGGAGATGACAGCTCCACTGGTGTTATTGTCCTGAAGATCTTCCAGTGGGACAAGATATGGAGGTGGAAGACAGTGATATTGACGATCCTGGCCCTATGTAGGCCTAGGCTAATGTGTGTGTTTGTGTCTTATTTTTTAATTTTTGAGACAGAGTCTTACTCTATTGCCCAGGCTGAAGTGCAGTGGTGCGATCTCAGCTCACTGCAACCTCTGCCTCCAGGGTTCAAGTGATTCTCGTGCCTTAGCCTCCCAAGTAGCTAGGATTACAGGTGTGCACCACCATGCCCAACTAATTTTTTGTATTTTTAGTAGAGATGGGGTTTCCCTATGTTGGCCAGGCTGGTCTTGAACTCCTGGCCTCAAGTGATCTACCTGCCTCAGCCTCCCAAAGTGCTGGGATTACAGGCATGAGCCACTACGCATGACCAGTGTCTTAGTTTTTAACAAAAAATTTAAAAAGTAAAAAGAAAAAAGTTTTAAATAGAAAAAAGGTTATAGAATAAAGCTATAAAGAAAAAAATAGTTTTTATAGCTATGCAATGTGTTTGTGTTTTAAGCTAAGTGTTATTAAAAAGAGTCAGAAAGTTAAAAAGTTTATAAAGTGAAAAAGTTATGGTAAGCTTAGGTTAATTTATTATTGAAGAAAGAAAATATTTTTAAATAAATTTAGTGTAGGCTGGGCATGGTGGCTGATGCCTGTAATCCCAGCACTTTGGGAGGCCAAGGGAGGGGGTGGATCATGAGGTCAGGAGTTCGAGACCAGCCTGGCCAAGATGGTGAAACCCCATCTCTACTAAAAATACAAAAAATTAGCCAGGCGTGGTGGTGGGCATTTGTAATCCCAGCTACTTGGGAGGCTGAGGCAGAGAATTGCTTGAACCCAGGAGGTGGAGGTTGCAGTGAGCCGAGATCACGCCACTGCACTCCAGCCTGGGTGACAGGGTGAGACTCCGTCTCAAAAAAAAAAAAAGAAAAAAAATTAGTGTAGCCTGAGTGTCCAGTGTTTATAAAATCTACAGTAGTGTACAGTAAAGTCCTAGACCTTCACATTCACTCACCACTCACTGATTCAACCAGAGCAACTTCTAGTCCTGCAAGTTCCATTCATGGTAAGTGCCCTATATAGGTGTACTATTTTTTATCTTTTTTATACTATATTTTTACTGTACCTTTTCTTTTCTTTTTTTTAAAGTAGAGACAGGGTCTCACTATGTTGCTCAGGCTGGTCTCAGACTCCTGTGCTCAAGCAATACTTCTGTCTCAGCTACCCAAAGTGTTGGGATTACAGGTGTGAGCCACTGTACACAGTCTGTACCTCTTTTATGTTTAGATACACACATACTTACTATTGTCTTATAACTGCCTACAGTATTCAGTACAGTAACATGCTGTACAGGTTTGTAGCCTAGGAGCAATAGGCTATACCATCTAGGTTTGTGTAAGTACACTCTATGACAGTGGAACCCAACCTTTTTGGCACCAGGGACCTGTTTTGTAGGAGACAATTTTTCCACAGATGGTGGGGAAGAGGGTACTGGGATGAAACTGTTCCACCTTAGATCATCAGGCATTAGTTAGATTCTCATAAGGAACATGCAACCTAGATCCCTCGCATGTGCAGTTCACAATAGGGTTCCTGCTCCTATGAGAGTCTAATGCCACTGCTGGTCTGACAGGAGGTGGAGCTCGGGCGGTAATGCTCACCTGTCTGCTGCTCACCACCTGCCGTGTGGCCTGGTTCCTAACAGGCCACGAACTGGTACTGATCCATGGCCCCTGAGGTTGGGGACTCCTGCTCTGTGATGTTTGCATAACAATGAAATAGCCTGATGACTTGATGTATTTCTCAGGATGTATCCCCGTCTTTAAGCGATGCATGACTGTGCAATATAGACCCCATTAAGCCTTGGCCAACCCAGCAGGAAGCTCTGGAGTGAGCACTGCCTACCAGAGTTGTCCCATGTTTGGCCCAAATGACTGAGTCTTTACATCCCTGCCTTTCTTAGTCAGCACATGTGGGCTGCCATGGGAAGGGCCTGACCTCAGTCAAAAGGGTTCTCTCCTGGAGGAGCTGATACCTGTAGTCATTCTGCTGATAACACCCCTATAGCTGGGCAGTAAATCCTTTCTTGAAAGGAGATTCGGTGGTGCCTCTGTGTCTACTACAAGTGGTGGTCCACTTGAATGACTTGGGTCCCTAAGGTCCTGGAAGAATATTGAATTGTTGGTGGTGTTGGGGGTTGTGGGGAAATCATAAGGGAGTATTCTGAGTAAAGAATATACTCATTTGATAGGCAGACTGGTCATGTTGTCTGTAGGAGATGTAAATACAGAGAGGTTTTTGTTTGTTTGTTTGTTTGTTTGTTTGTTTTTACAGAGTCTTGCTCTGTTGTCCAGGCTAGAGTGCAGTGGCACGTTCTTGGCTCACTGCAACATCTGCCTCCTGGGTTCAAGCATTCTTCTGCCTCAGCCTCCTGAGTAGCTGAGATTAGAGGCATGCACCACCACGCCCGGCTAATTTTTGTATTTTTCAGTAGAGATGGGGTTTTGCCATGTTGGCTAGCCTGGTCTTGAACTCCTGACCTCAAGTGATCCACCCGCCTCGGCCTCCCAAAGTGCTAGGATTACAGGTGTGAGAAACCCCACCTGGTCAATACAGAATTTTTCTTCTAGAACTTTTTGATGTGCTCCACCTGGTTACCTTGGATCATAAACAGTGGGCAGATGAAGGAAACACTAACAGCTCCTTCAGCAGCAGCATATACATTGGGAGAGCAGATTAGTAATCAGGTGACTAAATGTGTAGAGGTAGATTTCTTTGTAAAACAAGATAAAAGAGATGGATGTGGATTGGTAAAATAATATAAAGGCAGAAACGTCTATCAGAGAATGGTGTTATGGTCAGAAGAGAAGAGGAAGTCTTCATTAATTTATTCAAAAGATGAGCCTTGCAGAGTGAAGATTAGCCAGGTAAAGAAGAAGGAGAAGAGAATTCTAAGCCATGGGCTCCAAGGCATGGGACCCTGTGCCTTTGTCATGGTGCTCTTGCTGCCACTCATATCCAGGTCTCCCTTTGTCTTCCCATTTACTGAAGAGAACAGACATGAGAGCGGTGGTTGAGTACAGTGTCTATGGCCTGATGGAGCAACTGTGAGAACTTGGAGCACCGAGCATGAAGGCACATGAGGGGTCAGGTGAGGTGGGGGTCAGGGGTAGGGTCCAGATGTGGAGAATTTTTTTTTTTTTTTTTTTTTGGAGACAGAGTCTTGCTCTGTAACCCTCACTGGAGTGCAGTGGCGTGATCTTGACTCACTGCAACCTCTGTCTCCAGGGTTCAAGTGATTCTCCTGTCTCAGCCTCTGGAGTAGCTGGGATTACAGGCATGTGCTACCATGCCCAGCTAATTTTTTGTATTTTTAGTAGAGACAGGGTTTCTCCATGTTGTCCAGGCTGGTCTTGAACTCCTGACTTCAGGTGATCCTGCTGCCTCAGCCTCCCAAAGTGCTGGGATTACAGGCGTGAGCCACTGCACCCGGCAGATGTGGAGAGCTTTATGTACCGTTTCAAGTGGTGTAGACTCCTTCTACGGGCAAAAGGACATCTTTGCAGGGCTTAAGCAGCAAAGTAATATGAACAAATTTGTGTTTTAGAAGGGTCATTCTGATAACAGAGTGAAGAATGAATGGGAAGGAGGCATGACTTGAGATGGGAAGACAAATTAGTATTTAGCAGAGCAGAGTGAAGTGGGTAGCACTGAGCTGGAATCAGCAATTGGTGATAGATGGGATTGGGAGGTCAAGGATGGAAGTGATTTCGAGTAGAGGAGCCTGGGTAAAATAAGTTCCTTGAGCATTTTTGAACTTTACACTTGCTTTCATCCTCTTCATCCATGGCCATATGCTTCCTAAAGGGATGATAATAATTACGATTATTAGAAAAAAGTCTTTTTAATTCTTCCTTCTGAACTGAAGCAAATGTAGAGGTGTGGAGTTCAAAGTTAGAAGATCTCGATGACATGGGCAATTCAATTGCCTTGGAGCCTCAGCTTCCTCTTTGGTAAAAGGGAGATAATGCTGCCTACATCACTGGACTGTCATGACAGTTAATTGAAATAATGTATTAATGTATATAAAAGCTTTTATCAGTACCTGATATAAAGCGGGCATTTAGACCTCCATTCACTCAATGTATTGTGCAAGAGAGAAGTTTATTTGGACAACATAGTCTTTTAAAATATATGTATTTTGGTGTAGTGGCTCAATGCCTGTAATCCCAGCACTTCGGGAGGCTGAGGCGGGAGGATCACTTGAGGCCAGGAGTTGGAGACCAGCCTGGCCAACATGGCGAAACACCGTCTCTACCAAAAATACAAAAATTAGCCGGTATAGAGGCACACACCTGTAATGTGAGCTACTCACGAGGCTGAGGCATGAGAATCGCTTAAACCCAGGAGATAGAGGTTGCAGTGAGCCGAGATTGTGCCACCGCACTCCAGCCTGGGCAAGAGTGAGACTCTGTCTCAAAAAAAAAAATGTGTATATATATATATATATATATATATATATATATATATACACACACACACACACGTATATATATATACACACACGTATTTATATGTATTTACATATATATTTATATGTATTTTTAATATTAACATTGTATTACAAACCAGAATTTATTGAAGACTTACAATCTGCAAGGCACCATGAAGGATATATAAATGGAAGACATTGTTTCGGTTCTTAAGGTTTTTTGCAATCTGAGAGAGAGAGGATTTGTATGCGTGAAAAGTGTAAAATCAGTAAAATATTTAACCTTGTTTTATTTTAAATTTTAATTTTATTTTATTTTTATTTTGAGAGGAGTCTCGTTCTGTCACCCGGGCTGGAGTGTAGTGGCGCCATCCTAGCTCACTGCAACCTTTGCCTTCTAGGTTCAAGCAATTCTCCTGCCTCAGCCTCCTGAGTAGCTGGGATTACAGGCGACCACCACCATGCCTAGCTAATTTTTTTTTTTGTATTTTTAGCAGAGACAGGGTTTCACCATATTGGCCAGGCTGGTCTCGAACTCCTGATCTCAAGCAATCTGCCTGCCTTGGCCTCCCAAAGTGCTGGCATTATGGGCGTGAGCCACTGTGCGCCCCGACCTAACCTTGTTTTAGAGGTCAGGGGACAATAGAGAATATGAAACAGATAATAATGAGAGTTATCAGATGTGTTTACTTAGAGGCAGAAGATGTCACTTTACCCTAGAGTACTTACAGAAGGCTCTAGGGAGGAGGTTGAATTTGACCTAGATTTTAAAGATGATTTAGGGTTTATAATGTAGGTGTTGGCAATCTACTGCCCAGTACATTATCTGTTTTAATATGGCCTGTGAGCTAAGAATGGCCTTTAAATCATGGAGAAATTGTTTTAAGAGAATAATATTTTGTGACACATAAAAATTACATGAAATTCAAGTTTAGTGCCAATAAATAAAGTTTTATTGAAACACAGTCGCACCCATCCTTTTAGTATTGTCTGGGGTCAGATACATTTGAGATAAAATAGAGGAGAGCACTTGTAGCAGAGACCCTATGACCTGCAAAGGCTAAAGTGCTTACCATTTGGTCCTTTACAGAAAGCTTGCTGAACCCTGGAGAAGAGGATGCAGAGACATTCCAGGTGTGTAGAAAGCCAAGATTAAGAATGGCTCCATTGAAGGAAACAGAAAATGGTCACAAACAGAGAAGGAGTGTGTGGGACTTTCCTGGCAGCCATGGAGGGGAGAGAGAGTGTCTCAAGGGGTAAAGGGCGTCCGTAGTGCCAAGTGGTACCAAGAGAGAGCGCAGAAGTGCAACTGAGGAGAGAATCTGAGCTTTCGCCTTCAGCCATCACTCCTGAGTTTTGAATCCTGTGGCAGAAGGGGAGTGAGAGATGGGGAAGCAGAGGCAGCGTTTAAGAAATTGGGTGCAATCAGAAAGGTTTTAGTAGGGAAACACCCATGTTGTTTAAGTACAGTATGAAATGGAATAGACCTATGTATATTCATATGCAGAGGGAGAGTAAAGCAATTAGGGAGGTTTTGGAGAGGTTATGTAGAGGGTCGGGCACGGTGGCTCACACCTGTAAACCTAGCACTTTGGGAAGCTTAGATGGGAGGATCATTTGAGCCCAGGAGTTCAAGACCAGCCTGGACAACATAGGGGGATTCCTTCTCTACCAAAAATAATAATAAAAAAAAATATTAGCCGGGTGTTGTGGTACATGCCTGTGGTCTCAGCTGCTTGTGGGGCTGAGATGGGAGGATAGCCTGAACCCAGGAGGTCGAGGCTTCAGTGAGCTGTGATCACACCACTGCTCTCCAGCCTGCATGACAAAGTGAGACCCTGTCTCCAAAAAATATATATATATGTGTATATATATGTGTGTGTATATATATATATGTGTGTATATACACACGTGTATATACACACGTGTATATACACACGTGTATATATGTGTATATATGTATATATGTGTATATACATGTGTGTATACACATGTGTATACATGTGTGTATATACATGTGTATACGTGTGTATATACATGTGTATACATGTATATACATGTGTATGTGTGTGTATATACGTGTATGTGTGTGTATACACGTGTATGTGTGTGTATACACGTGTATGTGTGTGTATACATGTGTATGTGTGTGTATACATGTGTATATGTGTGTATACATGTGTGTGTATATATGTGTATATATATGTGTGTGTATATATATATATGTAGGCTATGTAGATATGTAGAGAAATGCTATTTAAAACAGTGAGGTTGGAGAAACATTGAAACAGCATTATTTTAGCAAGACTTCTCTCAACTGATTAGTTCTTGGCCTTGGAAAAGTTGCTTAACATCTTGGCTTGCTTTGCTTATCTATGAAGAGTGGATAATAATACACTCATCAGAGGATCATCGTGAGAAATAGTGAGATGATTCTGTTTGGGCAATGTCAAGAACATGAGATCTGCACTTAGTACATTGTCAACAAAGAAATAACTCTTTTTTTTTTCTTTTGAGACAGAGTTTTTGCTCTTGTAGCCCAGGCTGGAGTGCAATGGCGCGATCTCGGCTCACTGTAACCTCCACCTCCTGGGTTCAAGTCGTTCTCCTACCTCAGCCTCCCGAGTAGCTGAGATTACAGGTGCCCACCGCCATGCCAGGCTAATTTTTGTATTTTTAGTAGAGATGGGGTTTTGCCATGTTGGCCAGGCTGGTCTTGAACTCCTGACCTCAGGTGATCTGCCCACCTCGGCCTCCCAAAGTGCTAGGATTACAGGCATGAGCCACTGTGCCCGGCCAAGAAATAACTCTTAATGCTGTGATGTTTAAGTTTTTATATCAACATGGGTAGGCCATGGTACCCAGATTTGTGTCAAACAGGAGTCTGGATGTTGCTGTGAAGATTTTTTTAAAGATGTGATTAACATTTAAATGAGTGGACTTTGAGTAAGGCAGATTTCTCTCCGTGAGGTTGGGGGGCCTCATCCAATCAGTTGAAGACCTTAAGAGAAAAGACTGAGGTTCCCCTGGGGGAGAAGGGATTCTGCCTCTGGACAGCCTTTGGACTTAAACTACAACATCAGCTTTTCTCTGGGTCTCCAGCCTGCTGGGCTCCCCTCTAAATTTTCAGACTTGCCAGCCCTCAGAATTGTGTGAGCTAATTCCTTAAAATAAATCTCTCTCTCTCTCTCTCTCTCTCTCTCTCTCTCTCTCCTTCCATCCTATATATTGTTTTTTTTTTTTTTTTTTTTTTTGGAGAACAGTGACTAATTCAAATAACTTCTGAGTTAGACAGTAATCACTAACAATGAAAGTGTTACTATATTAAGGGACAATTGCTTTATACCCCAGAGACGGCACATACAATGCATTGATGTCACCGTGCTCACCATGTCCCATTTCTGAGCCTGTGGCAGACATTGTCAATTGATCACAGTATTCTGTATTGCTAAAACTAGATGTGACCTCAGAATTTTTTAAATACAGGGTTCTAGAAATGACTAACAAGTGATTAGAGTTGGCACTTAACTTGAAATAGATTTAATTCCGACCTAATCCATATTTAGGTATCTACAGCACTTTGCATAAAATTCTTCCTGGAACTTTGCAATTGTGATTAATAGATCTGAACTTGAAATTTAGAAGTTAAAATTTCAATTTCTTATGTACAAGTCTAGAAGCCACTAAAGTCCTTCATCTTATGTAGTAAGGACCATGTCATATTTGCCTTTTAGATAAGTTTTAAAAAATATATATCTTTTAAAGGTATCAGTGACTTTGAAATTCCAAAATAGAGTTAGAATAAAAAAACCCTGAAATTATACTTTTTTATTTCCTCCAAAACTAAGGGAACGTTCATATATAATTTATAAAGACTTCATTTTAATCCTTGGTTAAAGTGTTTGATCAAATATTCTTCTCACTTGAATATGTGTAACATTTATTGAAATCAAATAAGTGCACATAGCAGAGGGTTAAATTTTACATTCTCTTTTTTTTGTTTTATTTTTTACTTTAACTTTTTTAGCATTTCAAATGTTTTTATTATGAAAAATTTAAATATATACAAAATATGAGAAATTATATAATTCATCCCCAGATATGCATCACCCAGCTTCCATAATTATAAACTCTGTCCAATTATTTTATCTATACTACCATGCTGTTTTTCTTCCTTTCTCCTGGATTAGTTTGAAGAAAACACCAGACATTATATCACTTATAAGTATTTTGAATATATCTCTAAAAGATAACTTATTTAAAAATATAATCCCAATTATGACACACAGAGTACTAACAAAAATTCCGTAATTTTTTTTTTTATTATACTTTAAGTTTTAGGGTACATGTGCACAATGAATTTTACATTCTCTAAGCTCTTGATAAGAGATTTACTCACAAAGCAAGTAGGAATTCCTTGGCTTTTCAAATTTTGGGGGGTCTGTTATGGAAAATTTTTGTACTGTGTATGAAGAAAATATATGCTACCTTGGAGTGTGGTGGTAATATCATGTTTCTATGCTATCATTTTTTTCCAAGTATTTAAGTATTTTAAGATGTTATCTCTTTAGTTTTCATAGCATGCTAGGAAGGAGGAAGGACATGTTGTTCTCACCTAGCAGTAAAATTAGGTAAGCAGTTACTCAGTCTCTTGCATAAGCCACTGATCGAGCTGGGGATGTGATACCAAACAGTCTTCTGCTCAGTCGTCCATTGTGACCCTGCAGCATCTCCCATCAACCCATTCATCCCATTTTCTTTTTCTTAGTTAATAACTACACAGTTGATTCTTGCTTATCTGCTCTGAGGGAAAGGGGAAGAACAGGGCATAATCTCAAATGGTAGATGATACAAAAATAATTTGGATTTGGCGTGGGATATGTTTTTGTACTTGCACTGGAACCTGGGTGTGTCTGGTGTTCCAGAAATTTATAGCATTCCAAATCAACTGAAGAAACTGTGCAAGGAGAACCCATGGTGGGGGTCTTCGCAAATGCACCTCGTTTGTCTCCATTGTTTCCTAGCCCATCTCCTGCCTTCCTCAAGCTCTTCCCTGCTGAGATCAGGCAGCGCGATCTCTCATGTCAATGTGTCGAAACAGCCTAAGGAAAGCTGTTTTTTCTTTCTCTCTAAATCCTATTATGAGGCATTCATCTTCTCCTTCTCCTGGGAATGAGAGAAACCGGTATCTTGCATTAGAAATTGTTAATCATTTCTTAAAGTTTGTTTTTTTAAATGCAAAGGTACTGATACGATAATGTACTAAGAAAAGTTAAAACAAGATTTTTTTTGAATATGTAATAATAGGAACAATGTAAGAAAGACACTGCAAGTCTTTGATATTGTGTGGGTATCAGATAATGACAAGTGAATGAGAAACTTCATAAGAAAGTGAAAGTATCTCTTTACATTTTGTGGTGAATGGGAAGAAGTTCTAGAGTTCTTTTGCAGCATTTGCTTGTTTATCCAAAGAAACAAACACTAGTATTACCAAGGTTCTGATTTTGTGTATCCTCACTTTCATCCTGAATTGTTAAGACTCTTGGTTGTGGTGATAGAAGCCCACCTTAGCTTAAACAACAAAAGGAAATGCACTGACAAATGGAACCAGATTAAAATGTCTCACTGGCTTTAGTGACAACTGGAACTGAGAACCTGAATGATGTCTGGCCTCTCTATTTGTCTGTCTCGTCTCTGCCTCCTTCTGAAGCCAGCTCCATTCTCTTCCATGGCAGCCTGACTCTCTCCCTCGTGGAGGAGGTGAGGGAGAGGATGACATGTCTGGCAGGCAGCCCTTGATTTAGTGACTCGAGAAATAAGAGATTCTTCTTCTTTTGGCAGCCCGGCAGAGACATTTTGGGAAGATTCCCAGTAGTTCTTTTTGGTTCATGCGTCCACCCCTGAACCAATTGCTGTGTCCAGGAAGAGATGAGACTCCAAGATGAGTCCCATAAAACCCTGTTGTGAAGTTGGTGGTGCCTGTTCACAGAAGGAAAAGCGGAGAAAGAGTGGCAGATGGGCAAAACTAATAGCTATTATGCCTCCATTCATGTTGATTTTCAAATATAGGATTCATCTTACAATAAGCTTATTACTTTTTTCAGAAAAAAGCAAAAATCTGCAACACCAAAAAATATCTAGTATTCACGACACAGCGAGACTCCGTCTCAAAAAAAAAAAAAATCTAGTATTCACAGAATAATCTTAACGTTCTTGTTCAGAATTCTTGGAGGCCATCTCATTGCTGTCCCTGGTAAGATTTTGGAATCTTTAAAGGGCTAATTTACTGGTTTCACCAGGTCACAAAGTACCCAGGCATCAGTTACATAACTTGTATGACAGGGAACAGTCTTGACTTGGGTATTTCCAAATAAGCCAAGTTTTACACACAAAATGAAGTATATTTAGTGGATTGATGATTGAATAGGGAAGTACTACTGAGAAATCATCACCTAGGGGAACCTCATCTTTTCAATGTGTGGGATAAAGATTCCCAGAGGGTATAGGATTGATATTGTTGATGAAAGGATGAGAGAGAGGAAGGCTGTGAGTTACAACAAAATTCCAGGGAAGTTAGAACAACTTTAAAAAGACTTAAAAATAGAAGAAATGAGCTTCATGCAGTGACAGTATTGTAGCCAATGAGGTTTATCCAGGAGTAATTATTGCTAATTGAAAACTTTTCCCAATACCTGGCCGTGACAACTTGCAATATAGTTGGCATTGGCAATTTTTGACAGTCTCTATGGAGACTGAATATTTCAGTATTAAAAAAAACAGAGGAAATGAAAGTGCCCTCTATTGGCAGGTTTAACTGCTTTATACTCTCTTCCACTATTCTGTTGGATGAGGACCCATGAAGATTAAAGAAAATAAAGAAGCTACATTTTATTTGCACATGTGAGTAGCTTAAGTTGCAATGTTGCTGATATCAGATTGACATTATTGAGAAATATAATTCTGGCTATGGTTTTGAAAATGGGTAGGGGAACAGTGGGATAAGGCAGGGAGATTTTTTTCCCCTTTATTGATATATAATAATGTACATATCTATGGGATACATATGAGTGTTTGTTACATGCATAGACTATGTAATGATTAAGTAAGGGTATTTGGAGTATCTGTCATCACCTGAGAGTTTTCAGGGTATTTGGGGCATCTATCACCTGAGTGTTTATCATTTTTGTGTTGGTATCATTTTGAGTCCTCTCTTCTGGTTTCTTTGACATATACATAATATTGTTGCTAAGTATAGTTACCCTAGGTTGCTATCAAACATTAGAACTTAGTTTTCTATCTAACCCTATGTGTGTACCCATAACCAACCTTTCTTCATTCCTGCCTCCTTCTCACTCTCCGGTGTCTATCATTTTATTCTCTATGTTCATGGGATCAAGTTTTTAGCTCTTATATATAAGTGAGAGCATGTAGTGTTTGTCCTTCCACCCTGGCTTATGTTACTTAACATGATGGCCTCTAGTTCCATCCATGTTGCTGTAGATGACATGTTGTCATTCTTTTTTGTGGTCAAATAGTATTCCATAGCGTATATGTACCATATTTTCTTTATCCACTCATCCATTGATGGACATGTAGGTTGATTCCATATCTTTTCTATCATGAATAGTGCTGTGATAAACATGTAACATGTGTGTTTAGGTATCCCTTTGATAAACTGATTTCCTTTCCTTTGAGTAGATACCCAGTAGTGGAAACGTTGGATTTTATGGTCGTTATATTTTTAGTTTTTTGAGAAATTCCCATACTGTTTTCCACAGTGATTGTATTAACTTACATTCTGATCAACAGTGTGTAAGAGTTCCCTTTTCTCAGTATCCTCACCATCATCTGTTTTTTTTTGTTGTTGTTGTCTTTTTAATAATAGTGAATGGCAGGGAGATGTCTTAGGAGTCCTGTGATAATTCACACAAGAACTGACAGTGGCCTTGATGAGGGAAATAGCAAAAAGTTGGAAAGAAGTGGGTGGACTTGAGAAATAATAGAGAAATATTATAACCTGGTGATATATTAGAGATGGGGCTGTGGGAAGGGAAGAGTGACGAGGCAACATCTTCCATTTTAGTTTCTGGTTTGGGCAACTGGAAGAATAAAGGTACCACTTACTGAGATAGAGAAACGAGAGGAAGAATAGGTTTGGATGAACGGAGATTCTGAGCTTAGTTTTGGACATATTGATTGGAGTTTATAGTTACGTTTATGAATACATCTAAGAGCTGTCTCAAATTAGTCAATACACAGATCCAATTGATTCTTTCCTTGTTTTTTTATTTTTTAGTATCTTTTATTTTTTTAGAGACAGGGTCTTGCTCTGTTGCCCAGGCTAGGGTACAGTGGTGCCATCACAGTTCACTGCAGCCTTGAACTCCTGGGCTCAAGTGATCCTCTTGCCTCAGACTCCTGAGTAGCTAGGACTATAGGCACATGCCACCATGCCTTGCTAATTTTTAATTTTTTTTAAATTTTTTGTAGAGACGGGATCTCACTGTGTTGCCCAGGCTGGTCTCAAACTCCTGGCTTCAAGAAATCCTCCCGTCTTGTCCTTCTGAAGAATTGGAATTATTATAGGCAGGAGCCACCATGCCTGGCTTCTTTTCTTGTTTTTTCTTTTTTTCCATTTTTTTCTTTTCTATTTTTTTCTACTACCACCAACCATAATTGTGTTAAAAGATACATTTAGTCATATTAAAATTTTAATGAATTTAAGCATTCAGCAATTCATGAATTGAGCATCATCAGACCTCAAGTGGTTCAGCACTCCATGAGGTGTGGGAAGTGTGTGAGAGAGGAAACATCAAGTATTCTTGGAAGCAAGACAGAGAAAACATTTGATTAGCCAATGTGAAAAGTCCCTAGTTAGAGGTCAGTTGGTGGTTTCTGATTGGTCAGATTTCTAGCTAAAGGTTATTTGGTGGTTTCTAATTGGTTAAGCTTAGATTTTGCTTTATTGTTTACATCAAATTGGGATTTGGTTTGCTTATGTCGGAACCCAAGGCACTGGAGCCATCTTAGCCCAATGGCCTCCTAGTTAAGTATTTTTAATGATTTAAATTCCCATCACCTCACATCTGGAAAGTCAAATACCCTTCTATCCTACACTTCTATAATATTCCTCTGTACAGAGTTGCAGTAGGAATGTGCCCAAAAGTTGGTTTTGCTGGGTCATCTTCCATCTCACAACATTTGAATGGTTTTCTATTGCCTGCATAATACTTCTAAGACTGCCTGCAAAGTTGCTCCTAACTACTCCAACCTTATCCCACTCTCCCTAATGGTGAGTTTATCTCAGTTTGGCCAAACTAGAACTTCAAATACAATCTACCCCTTCCTGTCTCTGCATCTGTGCTCATGTCACTGCCTGGGCTTGCTTATCCTCTCTACCCATCTGACCCTTTAAACTCATCCCCCAAGGCCGAGATCTTCTCTGGAGGCCATCATTTCCCTCCACTGTAGCTCAACCTGAGCCCTTCCTTATCTGAATCTGTGAGTTCCTGTCTGTGCCCCTCCCATGCCATGAACATTTATTCTCATATTGCACTGTTTTGCAATGCCCCACTGATTTGATCTCTCTATACAAGGATGAGGACAAAGGTCAGGTATCATGCTACTTTCATATTCTCCAGAGCACCTAGCATAGTTCTGTACAAGATAGGCACTCAATAACTATTTGTCGACTTGAAATAATAAGGTACGTTTTTCTCTTTCCCGCTGGTCTTATCTCTGCTTGAGTAAATGAGGTTGATATGTGAAGGCAGTTGAGATTAAACATGTAAAGTGGAAGAATAAACAAGAGACAGAGGAGATTTTAATAAAATTTTATGATATAAAAATCATAATTACCTGCTAAATCTATTTTTTAAAGCTTTTAAAGTATTCAGATTGCTCCTCTCAACCTGGTGGCGTTTTGGTGTGTTTGACTAAAAAGCACACAGGTGCTAAAAAGCAGAATTATTATTTTAAAAATATTTGGCAACAAAAATAAACTTGTTTTAATTCAAAAGTTCTTGTGATTTTTGTTTCCTCAAATGACTTCATAGAAAACTCCTCATGAAATTTTAGTGTATATCATCTATTTTGACTCCAAATTGACTTTGGTTAGAAAAACCTCATTTCTTTTAAAAAATCAATGATAAATAAATAAAATATGTAGATCAAGTTTGTTGGCATAATAACAGATTTAGTTATAAATTGAAGACTTCAATAAAATAAGCTTGGAGTTAGAAATTACCAAGACATGCTCTAAGAAAAAAATAATAAAAAGAACAAAAGCACTCAAACTGTGATTCACTATGAACATTTTCCCTGTAACCAGCTCTGCTACTTTCATTACAGAATTAGAGAAGTAAACTTAAAGCATAGTTAAGTCAACAGAAACTGTTCTAGGTAAATGAATTCAACCTTCATGGTCACTGACACACAATATAATCTTGTTTCTTTCAGAATTTTATTCTTTAAGTAACTAAGTGACTCACAAGCTCAGAAAGTATTTTCTGGTACAAGTAAGTCTGAGCTTAGCATAAAATATTCTGAATATTTCTTCTTTTCAGATGAGTATTTAAAAAATAATAGTTCCTTTCTGGAAGGTGTAATTGGCTTTTGGTTTGCATGCCTACAAATGATTGTCCTTTTGTAGAATACATTTTAGGATAAGCTAGAATACAGCTTTTCCTTTCTCCATCAAAATCCTACCAATAATTTAGGGTTTAGCTCAAATATTACCTCTTTTATACAACTTTGCTTTATTTTTAGGCAGAATTAACCAAATTAGAATCAAATTAATCACCCACTACACCTTTTTTTAGGGGAAGGGATGTATCTTTTTTTTTTTTTTTGAGATGGAGTCTTGCTCTTGTTGCCTAGGCTGGAATGCAATGGCATGAGCTTGGCTCACTTGCAACCTCTGCCTCCCTGGTTCAAGCAATTCTCCTGCCTCAGCCTCCAGAGTAGCTGGGTCTACAGGTGCCCACACCACACCTGGCTAATTTTTGTATTTTTAGTAGAGACAGGGTTTCACTGTGTTGGCCAGGCTGGTCTCGAACTCCTGACCTCGTGATCCGCCTGCCTTGTCCTCCCAAAGTGCTGGGAATTACAGGCGTGAGCCACCATGCTCAGCCTGGAGATATCATTTTTAACATTTATTTCAGTTTACCAAGTTCCATAGTTGATGTGTATATTTTGATTACACCCCTAAGTTTGGGTTTACAAGCTCCTCATCTTGTTTTATTTTTTTCTAATTTTTACTTTTGTTTCTTTATTTATTTTTGAAACAGGGTCTCACTCGGTTGCCCAGGCTGGGGTGCAATGGTGTGATCTTGGCTCACTGTAGCCTTGACCTCCTGGGCTCAAGTGATCCTCCTGCCTCAACGTCCCTTGTATCTGCGGTGGCATGTGTCACCACACTCGGCTAATTTTTTGATATTTTTGGAGAGATAGAGGGTCTCACCTTGTTGCCTAGGGTGGTCTCAAACTCCTGAGCCCAAGTGATCCTCTGCATCGGCTACCCAAAGTGCTGGGATTGTAGGTGTGAATCACCATGCCTGGCCTGACTTCCTATTATTGGAAATGCCTGTTATGAGATGTGAGGATTTAAAAAACTTACATCTTTATCTACTTTTATCCCATATGTAATTTGCTTTTATTTCTGAAACATTGCAGCCAGTTCATGGAATAAAGGGAATATTCTTAGATACTTTCTAGGAGCCGTCTGTCCTTTGGCTGCAATCTGGTTGGTCCTCCCCACCCCACTCCAAGGCAGTTCCCCAGCTGGCATTTGGGACTTCTCTCTTTTGTTCTGCTAGGTTGAATTGACTGTTTTCTAAATCTTGTATTTTCTTCTTTTCTTGCTTTTTTTTTCATCCACACTTTGTGTAGTAAATCCTTAAGAAACCTTCTAACAAACATTGCCTTAGAGGAAAATGTTTTTAGTCCTCCTTGATTTATATTTGGTTTATAGTTCTGTTGGATAAAGAATTCTATGTCAAAAATCATTTTCCCTCAAAGCAATGAAAACCATGTCCCAGTGTCTTCAGGTGTCCAGGGCCAGTGAGCCATCCTACATGAGCGTGATTCTCATTCTTTTGCAGATGAGAATCTCTGTAAGATTTTCTTTTTTTTTTTGAGACGCGGTCTCGCTCTATCACTCAGGCTGGAGTACAGTGGCATGATCTCGGATCACTACAAAATCTGTCTCCCGGGTTCATGTGATTCTCCTGTCTCAGCCTGCCGAGTAGCGGAGATTACAGGTGCCTGCCACCATGCCCGGGTAATTTTTGTACTTTTAGTAGAGACGGGGTTTCACCATGTTGGCCAGGTTGGTCTCCAACTCCTGACATAGGTGATCTGCCCACCGCAGCCTCCCAAAGTGCTGGGATTACAGGCATGAGCCACCGTACCCAGCCTCTGTAAGATTATCAAGTCTTCTTTTTATCCTTAGGGTTTGGAAATTTTCCAATGAGATGGTTTAGGAGAGGACATTTTAAATTTATTTACTGGGTACTTGGTGGGCCCTTTTAATCTGGAAGCATTGGTTCTTCAACTTTGGTTCTCAGTCTTCAGTGAGATATAATTCACATATCATACAATCTACTCATTTAAAATTTACAATTCTATGGATTCTTTACATACGCTCTGTCTTTATGTGATAGCAATGCAGTACTTAATAAAAATTTGAATGTGGCAAATTGACCTCATATAGAAACTACTATTACAGCCATATGCATAGCCTTAATATTTACAAGCTTACAACTATGATTTAGACTTTTCCTCTGCATCTGAAAGAGTGGGATGAAAATCTTATGGGTATTTTTTATTTGCATGGAGTTTTCTGTTAATTGACACTATGCCCAAAGACAAGTCACTCCTCTCTTTCTCTTCATCTACCAAGTAGAATTTACAATCTCTTCGGAGTGTAATACTGTAAACTCATTTGCTCCTCAGGATTAAAGAAAATAAGTTTCTGATGTTCAAACAAGTCGTCTAAAATAACATAAGGCTGGGTGCAGGCCAGGTGCGGTGGCTCACGCCTGTAATCAAAGCACTTTGGGAGGCCAAGACGGGCAGATCACGAGGTCAGGAGTTCGAGACCAGCCTGGCCAGCATGGTAAAACCCCATCTCTACTAAAAATACAAAAATTAACTGGGTGTTTGGTGCACGCCTGTAGTCCCAGCTACTCGGGAGTATGAGGCAGGAGAATCGCTTGAACTCAGGAGGGGGAGGTTGCAGTGAGCAGAGATCGTGCCACTGCATTCCAGCCTGGTAACAGAGCAAGACTCTGTCAAAAAAAAAAAAAAAAATGCTGGGTGCTGTGGTTCATGCCTATAATCCCAACACTTTGGGAGGCTGAGTTGAGAGGATCACTTGAGCCCAGGAGTTCAAGGCCAGCCTGGGCAAGATAGTGAGACCCCATCTCTACAAAAAAATAAAAAAAAAATCAGGTGTGGTGGTACATGCCTGTAGTCCCAGCTACTTGGGAGGCTGAGGCTGGAGGATCACTTGAGCTCAGGAGTTTGAGGTTACGGTGAGCTGTGATGATACCACTGTATTCCAGCCCGGGCAAAAGAGTAAGACTCTGTCTGAAAAGAGAAAAAAAAATTAACATCCGATTGGACTCCATTTTCATATGGAGAAGGATGCCATCTGTCCTCTGTTCATGATCACTACCTTGTCCTGTCCTGGGAGACTGTGTAAGTCTAAGGAAATGATTGACTATCAAGTGGTAATTCATACTATTTGCTGTGAAAGGAATAAATTGCATTGCTCTCAGGTTTGCCCACTGTTTCTTTTACAAGGTGTTTCACAGCTGCAGCTACCAATCAGAAGCATTGGTGCTCTGCCTCTTAGCCCCCAGGATGGTTTTCTTCTGAGTAGTTTGGGCCAGGTTACATAGTGGCTGGATGCCCAACACTTGCTGAATACACAACTTGCTGGGGTTGTGCTTAATAGGCATTTTGTAGTGAATGGACAAATGAGTCTGACAAATGTTGGATGATTTCTTTTTCCCAAGGTTGAGCTCAGTTTCTGCAGGGATGTTACATGTTTCTATGTGTGGTCTTGAAAAAGCCTTCATTGTTCATCACGATTTCCTCATTGGCAAATAGGGAGGCCTATAATGGCTTAATCAAATAGCTACTGTGGCCTGATCAAACAAGGAACTTCAGAAAACGAATGCTCCAAATGGTTTCATTTGTCAACACTACTATATTCATGGGTGGGACAAACACACACATACATATGCACACATACACATGCACACACACAGTTGCTAGTGTGAGGCCTCATTCCTTTGCCAGCCTTAACATCTATCATTGCATTCCAGACCCTATGTTATTTAACTGATAATGAGTTACAGGCTTAAAATGATATGCCATAGAATGAGTCATTATACGCATAGGCATATTTCTATCATCCAAGAGGGCTTCTTTTAATTAGACGTCTGAGAAACTTTAAGAATGTGGATTTGTTAGTCTAAATTGTGGGAGAATAATTCTTCCCTCAGCGAGTTCTGAGTTGAGCTGCACATGGTGTTGGTTGTGGTTGTCTCCAGTGAATTGCATGTCCACTTATTTAGTTTTTAGTCGGTGTTGGTTTGATGTTGATGGTGTTTAAAACTTAAATAATTCTGGATTTTATGATATATTGATTTTCCAAGAGGACTCATCTGAGCCAGGATTCCTACAGATGCAATTCCATCCGGAAATTTTGGAGAGAAATAAAACTTAATCTCAAGCCTCCAGTGTGTCCTAGAGACTAAATTTCTTGGCAATCCTTCTTTTCTGACTTTTTTCTTATTTCACCCAACGTCCTTTTAATAATCTCCTTCTCTTTCTTCTTCTTTGAACCAACACTATGGTGCCTTTAAAATGTATTTAAACCTCAAAAAATAAAGGCACTTTGTAGTTCTTAGAAGTAATGTCCTGTCTGTGAATTGAGACCAGGTCATTTCTACTTTCAAACCTGTATTTTTTTTTTTTTTTTTTTTTTTACGGTATAGATAGTCCGTGTTGAAAAAATGGCCCCACTGTAGGATGGGTTCTTAGCCCACTGCAGGATGTCTAATAACTACTGCATTTTAGAAATCTGGGGATTGTGAAAAATGAAATTATTGACGCTATGAATGGTTAGGAAAAAAGATATCAAGAGTCTTAAACTATGTGTTTATTTGTTTATGAAAAGGTTTAAGGGTTGCCAGGTGCAGTGACTCATGCCTGTAATCCCAGCACTTTGGGTGGCTGAGGCAGTTGAATCACCTGAGGTCGGGAGTTTGAGACCAGCCTGACCAACATGGAGAAACCCTGTCTCTACTAGAAGTACAAAACTAGCCGGGCGTGGTGGCACATGCCTGTAATCCCAGCTACTCGGGAGGCTGAGGCAGGAGAATTGCTTGAACCTGGGAGGTGGAGGTTGCGGTGAGCTAACATTGCGCCATTGTACTCCAGCCTAGGCAATGAGCAAAACTCCATCCCCCCACCCCGAAAAAAAAAAAAAAGTTTAAGGGTTCTGGAATAAATTCAGCCCTTAATTCGACTTGTGAGCCCTCACTGAAGCAAACGGCTACCGTGGTATCTCGATTGAAGTCTTTGGAAAACATACAGAATGTGTTGATAGCTCATATTATATCACACTGTAACTTGGGTGTTTGGCAGGGAAACATACTTCTCTCTTTTGAAAAAAATTAATATTTACTTGATTTCCTGATAAAAGGAATACTACAAAAGAGTATTGCAAAACCTTGAAGGTTTGGCACAGTTTCCCATGTGGGTGGAAAAATGTTGCTCTGAAGCCAGACTGGAATTGTTCATGAAATATAACATTAAAAATACGTTTTTAAAAGAAGAAGCTTGATCCTGGAAAGAAAATACATATATAATATATAAAACAACAAAGTTATGGACTTTACCAGCATGTATTATAGAAACACAATGACATAATCATGATGCCATGAAAATGGCAATCTCTGATATTAGATAATTAGGCTTTCTTTATTATGCTGATTTTAATCTTTATCAGAGTCCCACTGTGTTTGGATCTATGTCTATTTCATGTAATTGTCTATATCTTGCTCCTACTGACATTCTCGACCTTTGCTATATAGCCCAGCACAAACAGCCATGATCGCTTCTTGCTTCTCAAAAAAGAAAGCTACTTAAAACTGGAAGGTGTATTCAGGTCTTTGTTCTTATTGGGCTTATAAACATTTACGCATTGGGATGTCCCAAATCCAGAGCCAATATGTCTCCTCCTCCTCCAGCTTCCCTCTTTGAACTCTTGCTGTTAGCTGATTTCCATATGTCCCCCTTTTACTCAAGCAGAACCACTTATATAAAAGCTTCAGCATAGTAATGTTTCCCCCTTATGCCACACAATAAATATATGGGACAAGGGAGGGTGAAGAGGTTTGTGAAAGGAAGTTGGTAGGACAAATGATTGTTTTCAATTAATGATTTATTTATTTATTTTTGTTCTTTAGTTGAGGGGGCATATATTAAAGTGTTATTTCCTAAGCTTAGTTTCATAGATCTGTATTAGTCTTTCCATTTGTAACTATCTGTTCTTTCTACAGAACACAACAAATACAAGGGCTGCAGTTTCAGAAATTCCCTATGAAGGAAAGATGGCTACTGCAAATCACCATTCTTACCCCATCTCCTAGATTCTGGGACTGGGTGTATTAGTGGTGTTTCTTTCTCAGTGGCATGTAGTTAGTCCATTTCCCTAATAAATTAGAGAAATGATTTCTTACTAAACAAGGGAGTGAAAAGAGCGAGTTGGGAATTGCACCAAACAAAGGGTAAACTATAGCTTAGCAGGAGAAGTGGGTGAAACAGATGATTAACTTTCCTGAGTAGTAGTTAATGAGTAATCAATGAAGCATTTATTAAGTCCTTCCTGTATTCCCAAGAGTAAAATAGGCAGTGTGAGAATCAATGACGTATCTGACATGGTATTTTGCCTTAAAAGAAATTTATGATCTGGTTAGGCAATACATATAATGTGTATCAAATTAAAACACTACATGCTATTTTTTATCTTTAACTTTTATTTTAAGTTCAGTGGTACATGTGCAAGTTTGTTATATGGGTAAACTTGTGTCATGGGGGTTTGCTGTACAGATTATTTTTTCACCCAAATATTAAGCCTAGTATCCCTTAGTTACTTTTCCTGATCCACTCCCTTCTCCCCCTCTCCACCCTCTGATAGTCCCCAGTGTGTGTTGTTCCACTCTATGTGTCCATGTGTTCTCATTATTTAGCTCTCACTTATATGTGAGAACATGCTGTATTTGGTTTTCTGTTCCTATATTGGTTTGCTTAGGACAATGGCCTACAGCTCCGTCCATGACCCTGCAAAGGACACCATCTTGTTCTTTCTAATGGCTGCATAGTATTCCACGGTGTATATGTGCCACATTTTCTTTATGCAGCCTGCCATTGATAGGCATTTAGGTTGATTCCATGCCTTTGCTTTTGTGAGTACTGCTGCAATGACCATACACATATCTTTATGATAGAAAGATTTATATTCCTTTGGGTGTATTCCCAGTAATGAGATTGTTGGGTCAAATGGTATTTCTGTTTTTAGGTCTTTGAGGAATCACCGCACTGTCTTCCACAAAGGCTGAACTGACTTACACGTCCACCGACAGTGTATAAGCATTCCCTTTTCTCTGCAATCTCGCCAGCATGTTTTTTTATTTTTTATATATTTTTTGAGACAGGGCCTTGCTCTGTCGCCCAGGCTGGAGTGCATTGGCATGGTATCAGCTCACTACAGCCTCCACCTCCTGGGTTCAAGTGATTCTCATGCCTCAGACTCCTGAGTAGCTAGGACTACAGGCGTGCACCACCATGTCCGGCTAATTTTGGTATTTTTAGTGGAGAAGGGGTTCGTCACATTGCCCTGGCTGGTCTTGAACTCCTTGCCACAAGTGATCTGCCTGCCTTGGCCTCCCAAAGTGCTGGGATTACAGGTGTGAACCATTGTGCCTGGCCCTGTTATGTTTTGACTTTTTAATAATCACCATTCTGACTCGTGTGAGATGGTATCTCATTGAGGTTTTGATTTGCATTCTCTAATGATCAGTGACGTCGAGATTTTTTTTCCTATGGTTGCAAGCTGCATGTATGTCTTCTTTTGAATGCAGAAAGAGTTCAGAAAAGAGAGATGCATAGAGAAGCAAGAACAAGCTGAAGGAGGCTTGGGATGGACGTTGGAGAATTTTAGGTGGACATTGAGACTCCTGGCCCGAGAGATAAGGCCAGGTGGGCACTTGTGAAGTTTGTTGAGGAGGTGAGTGTTGATGTGTAGGGGTATTTATGACTCTGTCAGTCGAGGATAGAATAAAATGAAATAGGAAGCTATTGGAGGTTCGTGCACTTGCTGGAAGCTTATTTAAAAAAATAGTTTATTGAAGTGAAATTTATATAACATAAAATGAACCATTTTATTTATTTATTAAATATATTTTTTCAATAAGATGAGGTTTCACTGTGTTTCTTAGGCTGGTCTCGAGCTCCTGAGTTCAAGCGATCTGCCCGCCTCAGCTTCCCAAAGTGTTGGGATTACAGGCGTGAGCCACCATGCCTGGCCATAATGAACCATTTTAAAGTGAACAATTCAGTGGTATTTAGTACGTTCACAAACTCCTTACCTATTAAAAGCAGTTGCTCCCTGTTCTCTCTCTCCAGCTCTGGAAATCACCAATCTGTGTTCTGTCTCTATGGATTCATGGATTCTGGATGTTTCATACAAATAGACTCATACAGCTTGTGACCTTTTGTGTCTGACTTCTTTCATTTGGCATAATGTTCTCAAGATTCATTCACTGTGTAGCATATATCAGTACTTAATTATTTTAATGACTGAATAATATTCTGGAAGTCTGTTTTTGACTAATGTGGAGGCATGTGCTGAAGTGGCTAATCTAAAATATGTTTTGATGCATTGAGTGACCATTAAACTCACTAGTTCCATTTTGTCTACACACACACAAGGAATCTAAAATGTTTATTCTAGGAGAATGGAAATCTTATCTCACTGATAGAATAGATAAAGGGAGATTAATTATAGGGAATACAAACTGAAGTTTAGGGTAATAATAAAAATAGCCAGTAGAGATATTCCACAGAGATCTGAAAATTCAAGGAAGAATTGAGAATTGAGGTCTAGAGTAAAAAAAAAATGAAGTCATCTCTTAAATTCAAACTGATATTGGTAGATTACAGAATAGCCTGGGCACAGGAATTGAATACTCCGCAGAATGTCATGGATAAATTTCTTTTTTGGCAAAGTGTTTTACACTGCCTGTAGTAAGAGAAAGTTGGAAGCTGGAGACAGAGGATTTATGGAGACGAGGAGACAGGCTGCAGAAATGTCACCCAGGCTGATTCCAGCAAGGGTGGCACTGGAAATAAACAAGGATGAGAGGCTCACAGTGTAGTGTTTCAATCCTGGTACATGTCACACCCCCTGAGATCAGAAAGTTGGGTGGAGCGGTGGAAAGACCATAAAATTTTGAGTCAGATAGACCAGGGTTCAAATTTGGGTTCCTCCACTTATTCTGAATATACTTAAATACGTTAACTTTTCTGAGCCTGGGGAAGATGAAATAAGATGACATTTGTGAAGATGAATTATAGATAGTACTTAGGCAGGAAGTTACATATATATTTGTCATGAGGGGGGTGAATATGTATTTTCGCGGGGAGGGTCGGGGCGGGGAGGGTCGGGGCAGGGAGAGACGGATGCTGAAAACTCTATGTGGCGCTCATGCCTTGGGAAAGGAAAATGGCTGAACCTTGGGGAAAGAAAAGTGAACATAGTGCCAATTATTTATCTATTTATTTGTTCTTGTTCACTTATACATTTTACTTTGTCTTGTTCCTAAAAGGATTTGTGAAGATAGTTCACAAAGATTGTTTTATGATAGTCTGCCTACCATAAAAACATGGTTTACAAGGATGGTTTATGAAGGTACACACATCATAAGATCAAAAATAAGTAAAAATTAGGGTTGAGAAAAACGTGAGCAAAGGGAAAATGACAGTAAGAAGATAAGAAGCCTCGGAAAGCAAGTGACATGAATTTTACGCCCTTGTAGACACAGACTATATATTCGGCTTGAAATTGAAGATATTGTTGTTTCATTGGATATAGTCATCTAAGAGGAGCTATCCAGCAGGTCAAAGGCTGAGGAAGGAAGCAGGTGAGGAGGCTGATGTGGCAGTTAGTTATAGATGTGAAATGGTTTTCTTCTGATGGGCATTCTGCTTTATTGCTGCAAGCACATCTTGCTGTCACATCTGTTAACAGCTCATATAAGAGTTGGCTTAATTTGTTTTTCAGGGGCGTGCTCAAGTAGGTAAAGATTTATGAACTTTCATGCTGTTCTTCTCATTGCATCTCATTAAGTGGTTTTCTGAAACCCACATACTGAAGCCATCTGAAGGAGCCTTGGAGAAAGGGTGGGTGTCCTTGGCTTGGGGAATGAAGGTGGGCATTGGCTTGTTCTTTCCCAGGATGAAATTGTTCATAGAAAGGAGCTGAGTGGGATCAGAAGGAAGAGAATGGGCATCTTAGCACCTTCTGGGTGTGTCTTCAGTTTGGCATCCATATTTTTTGAACTAAATCGCTAGAATTTATAAATATCTTTGGGAGGCATAAGCAGGAGATTGTTTAAGGTCAGGAGTTTGAGACCGGCCTAGGAAACATAGGGAGACCCTGCTTCTACAAAAAAATTAAAAAATTAGTTGGGCATAGTGTTGTGGTCTTAGCTATTCTAAAAAAATAATATATGAGGCTGGGCTTGGAGACTCACGCCTGTAATCCCAGCAATTTGTGAAGCTGAGACAGGTGGATCACCTGAGGTCAGGAGTTCGAGACCAGCCTGGCCAACATGGTGAAACCCCATCTCTACAAAAAATACCAAAATTAGCCATGTTTGGTGGTGTGTGCTTGTAGTCCCAGCTACGTGGGAGGCTGAGACAGGAGAATCGCTTGAATCTGGGAGGCAGAGGTTGCAGTGAGCCGAGATGGGGTCATTGCACTCCAGCCTGGGTGACAGAGCAAGACTCAGTCTCAAAAAAAAAAAGAAAAAAGAAAAACAAACACACACACACACACACACACACACACACACACACACACCACACACAAAGAATATATGCATATAAATATTTTGTTTGAACTAAATTGCCAGGATTTGTATATAAATATGGATGTATCTATATAAATATAGATACTGCATATACTCCTATTTATTTTTTTTCTTTCTTCCCCTACTTGTGGCTTTATTGAGGTATACTTAACAAATAAAACTTGTATTTGTTTATTTATTTAGTGACAGGGTGTTACTGTCGCCCAGGTTGGAGTGTAGTGGCATGATCATCGCTCACTGTTGCCTCGAACTCCTGGGCTCAAGAGATCCTCCTGTCTCAGCCTCCCGAGTAGCTGGGACTATAGGCGTGAGACACCACGTGCAGCCAATTGTATATATTTAAAGCATTAAACATAATGTTTTGATAGATGTATACATTGTTAAATAATTAGCACAATCAAGCTGATTAACTTGCCCATCACCTCACATAGTTTATTTTACACTTAAGATCAACTCTCTTAGCAAATTTCAAGTACATGATACAGTATTATTGACTATAGTCACCAGGCTATACATTACATCTCCAGAACTTATTCATCCTGCATAACTGAACCTGTATTTAAATATAAATGTTCTCAAAAAGTATATTTCTAAGCCAAACATACATAATGCTTTGATTATCTAGTTGTGTTATTCAACCACATCCCAGTTCTACTCCTATCAGCAGTAAATGATAGAATCAGAATTAACTCACAAAAATTCAGCCTTATGTTTGTACAGCTTTAAATATTTCAAAGTGTTTCAGGGCACCCATATACTACATTTGTGATTCTTACAAAATGATCTGGATAAAGTAGAAGTCGTATTAATATTATTTTTATTTCATGAATGAAGATACATTTCAGAGCTTTTTATTTAATTTTAAATTTATATTTCTGGGAAGTGGCAAAGGTAGGCTGAGAATTTTGCACTCTGCTTTTCCCATGAAAAGTAGAGAAACCTATCCTGGACTGGATCCTGGAACAGGAAAAACCCAACATTTGTGAAAAAAATTGGTGAAAACTGAGTTTATTTAATAGTAGTGTACCAATGTTGGTTTTGGTTTTAACAAATGTATCATGGTCATGAAGCTAGAAACAAAGGCGGCAATCTGAATACTCACTATTTCATGATAATACAGGATCTACAGGAGGCATAATTAAGAATTTTAGAAAAGAATGTTGAATAAGTGGTCAGAGAATTACAGCAAAAAGAGGAAGATCACCTAAAAGCGTAAGGTTAGAAAGGACTGAAGAGAAGCAGCAGTATCAGAGGCAATATCCCATTGCCTGTGAGTCCACAGCTAAATTCATCCCTCTCCTCAAACCTGCTGTTCCTTTGGGGCTCCCTGGTTCTATGAATGGTACCACCACCCACAAGTTGCTAAGACAGAAGCCAGAAACTCTTCTCTCCTCTTGAGCCCTCTATCTAGTCAGTTTCCATGGCCTGTGAATTCCATCCACAAGGATCTCTTCTTACATCTCTCTGTTATCAAGTTCAGGCCACCAGCATCTTTCCCCTGAACTCTTTCCTGTAATAGTCCCCAATCTGGTCTCTCTGCTGCTGCCCATCTTGTCCTCTGCGTTCCTATTCTGGGATTTTTTTTTTCCCCTCTCCCTTTTTATTTTTCTTTTGGATTTTTTTGTAATTGTAATAAGAGAATGTTTATTGGGAAGAGCGCTCTTTAGAACATTACACTTTAACTAGATCAGGAAACATACAATTATCTATATGTTTTATTCTGACATTTATCCAAAAAGTGTAATTACCAATTGATATCACCAGACTGTATCAATGAACCAAATTTTAACTTCAGTGCTTCAGTAGTTTCTAAGCCTCTGGCTCATTCTCTGTTCCTCCACCCTGCAAGACTAAGGCATCTTGGCAAAGGAACTCTACTTATGAAAATGTGCCATTTCATATATGGTTTCTAAAACTAATGATGAAAAAGTTATTTTATCTTATTTTTAATACTCATAAGAAACCATGTCTAAAAAGAAGTACTTATTGTTCCTCTCCTAAGAAATAGATTTAAGTTATAAGATTGTCTACTAAAATTAATATTTAGATAGAATTGGGAAATTGTTATGATCCAGACATTACCTTTGCTGAGTGAAAATAGAGGTTTTTCATTCACTGGGAATAATACTTAAAATGTAGAATTCAAAAAATTGCTATGAGATCATGATTAATCTGACCATTATAATGGTAATGATCAGGTAAATCTGGCCACTGTAAAAAACTTACAAATTCTCAATTAGACAGTAGGGTCAGAATGGATGTTGTTTTACCACCCTTTTAACACAATGTGATATCCCATGATACCTGGTGGATAAAGACACTGGTGAGCCTTCAGGTCAGTCTTCCTGTGTAGAGATTCTCTCTCTACAAAAAGTAAGAAAATTAGCCTAGCATGGTGGCACCTGCCTGTAGTCCCAGCTGCTCGGGAGGCTGAAATGGAAGGATCGCTTGAGCCTGGCAGGTCCAGGCTGCAGTAGCTGTGATCGTGCCACTGCACTACAGCTTGGGCGATAGAGAGAGACCCTGTCTCAAAACAAAACAAAAAAAGATCTTAACATTAGGAAAAACTGAGTGAAGGATACACAGGAACTATCTGGACCAGACCATTTTTAGAGTTTATCTGTAAATCTAAAATTGTTCAGAATATATATATATATATATATATATATATAGAATATATATAGAATATATATAGAATATATATAGAATATATATATAGAATATATATAGAATATATATATAGAATATATATAGAATATATATATAGAATATATATAGAATATATATATAGAATATATATAGAATATATATATAGAATATATATAGAATATATATATAGAATATATATAGAATATATATATAGAATATATATAGAATATATATATAGAATATATATAGAATATATATATAGAATATATATAGAATATATATATAGAATATATATAGAATATATATATAGAATATATATAGAATATATATAGAATATATATATAGAATATATATAGAATATATATAGAATATATATATAGAATATATATAGAATATATATATAGAATATATATAGAATATATATAGAGAATATATATAGAATATATATAGAATATATATATAGTATATATATAGAATATATATAGAATATATATATAGAATATATATAGAATATATATAGAATATATATATAGAATATATATAGAATATATATATATATATGCAATTTACACAGAAAAAGAAAACGTGTCGTCACAGATCTTAGCTTTCAGGAGGAAATTTATACTCCTTAGCTTAACACACAAGGCCTTTCATGGTCTAGGGACTGCCTTTCTCTAGTCTCACCTCTCCAAAATGCATCCACACTGATACTCACCCTTCACTGGGGTCATACAGAACCATATGATCATGTCATGCTCTTCCTTGCAAACCTGTTTCTTCTCCTGTGTTTCCTTTTTAGTGCACCTCCTATTTTTTTTTACCTCCTATGTTTTTTTTTTTCAAATCTGTCTAATACCTTTCTGTGCCACCACTCCGATGGAAGCCACCACCACATCTTAATCGAATTCAACTAAAATAGCGTTCTGACTAGTTTTCCTGCCCCTAATCTTGCCTCCATCCAATGTGTTCTCCATTCAACAGCGACAGTGATCTCTTAAAAGTACAAATTTAATCTTGTTCTTCTTAAAGCTTTTCACTGGGTGCTCTTTGTTGTTAGAATAAAATCTCCAAAGCTCTGCAGCCTCATTGCTCTAAGAGCTCAGCAGCAGCATATCTATAACAGACTTGGTGGTGGGGTGCAGTGGTCAGAAAAGAAGTAATCCCTCCAGGGCTGTACTTCCCTTGGCGCATTCTTCTTCCATCTCCTTATCTGGTTAAGTCCTACTAATTATTCCATCACCATTTTATCAAAACTTTCCTTGGTCCATCTAGATCCCACTCCTCCTCCAACTACTGATTTCTGTTTTTTATGGTTAAGAGTCAGTCTGTCTGGGTTTGAATTTGGCTCTATTCTTTACCAGCTGTGTAACTGCAGGCAAGCAACTTGGCCTCTCTGTGCCTGTTTCCTTATTAGTTGTGAGGAATTATAAATATAATGCTTAGAACATCACTTGGCAACAGAGTAGGGTTCAGAAAGTGTGGTAGCCTGGCTATAATCTGTTCTGTGCCTTTGTAACCCCAAACATAAATGTAATTAATGGATTATATTGGCACCACTAGGTCTGTAGTGTCTAATACAAATATTTGTTGAATGACTGTTGCTTCCCTTGTTTGGAATGCATTTGTACTCTTTCTGCTTACCTTTCTCCCTATAGTCAATCAATACATACATCTTGTTCCAACCTCAGCTCGGGCCCTGTTCCACCAAAAGCCTCCCCAGATCGTGGCATCCCCTCTGAAGCAGAGATTCCTCCTCTGGCTCCTAAAGCTCCTATTGTTCCCATTTTATTTGAACTGCCTCTCTCTCTCATTAGACTGTGATCTCTGTGAGCACTGTAAGTTCAGAAAAAAGCGCCCAGTGGTGTTGAATCATTGGATTGGTGTCTCCAGGGTCACCGTGCTATTATGAGGATCAAATGGTAAGTTCTCAGTAATTTTCCTACCTCAAGAGTCAACCTGAAGTTTCGCAACAAAAGTGAAAGAGTCAAGATTCTCTGATATAATTCTGGCAGTAAATAAAGACTTAGAACTCAGTGATATAAGGGGTTCTTGGGCGCAGGAAAATGGAAATGTGTTTGAAAACTTTTAGGTGAAAGGTTGACAGCTGATAAGGCTGGGGAAGTTTAAGAGGCACATACTTGCATTGTGTGTGTAGGAATAAAATTGGAGTGAAAACAGGTAGTGTATGCTTCTCAAGGGCTTTATCCTTTTAAATATCTCAAGACATCTTGTATGTTATTGGTACACAAAAAATGCCTAGTAAGTGCTTATTGGATGAGCACAAAGGAACAGCAGAGACTAGAGCAAGAAAGAACTTTACATGTGTCCAGTCCAACACCTTCATAATGAATGAAAATGATTTTCTTAGAAGATTTCAAAATAAGAGATACAAATTTTTGTGTTTTAGGGATACTGTTAAAAATTTAACTAGAACTCTATAGACCAGGAGTAAAGATCATTTTCTAAGTACAGTCAGAACTTTAATGGCAGAGAAAAAGCATATTTCGGGGTTTTCTTTACAAATGGAAGATGGGATTTTTATGTTCAAAGGACGTGTTCCTTTGAATTTTTGTACTAATCTGGAATGGCCAGTAAGTTCTGAATCACAGTGAGAAATTCAGCTCACATCTTTCCCAGCTGTGGCAAATGCCCCACATCTCATGGGGAAGTCTTTAAACACTGGTTGGTCCTGGGCTCCTGAGATTGCTCAAGTGTTAGCCCTCCTGGCCATGGGGAAGTTTGTTTGTTTGTTTGTTTGTTTGTTTTCCTTTTTGAGACAGAGTCTCGCTCTATCACCAGGCTGGAGTGCAGTGGCGTGATCTCGGCTCACTGCAGCCTCCGCCTCCTGGGTTTGAGCAATTTTCCTGCCTCAGCCCCCCAAGTAGCTGGGACTACAGTCGCCCACCACCACGACTGGCTAATTTTTTGTATTTTTAGTAGAGACGGGGTTTCACCATGTTAGCCAGGATGGTCTCGATATCCTGACCTCGTGATCTGCCCACCTCAGCCTCCCAAAGAGCTGGGATTACAGGCGTGAGCCACTGCTTCCGGCCCATGGGGCAGTTTTGAGGTCATTTACTTCCATTTTGTTTTCACTTCACAGTAGAGACTAAGGTTCAAGTCATATGACTAGGAAAGACCACAGCAATTTAGAACCATTTGAATTCAGTGGGTACCTCTAGTATAGAATATATACATTTAGAAAAAACAACAAAGAAATCAACCAACCAATCACATTTTGACCCTGATATACCAAAGGAAGATTTAAAAAATAACTAAATTACTTATTAGTAATATGAATTTGTGTTTTATTAACTGTCACTTAGAAAAAAGACTAAAACTGTTTTTTCAAGAAATTTTAAAAAATTCAGTACCAAAAATATATCTCATATGGGAACCAACTATTTAGCACTGAAACCTTGGTCTTTATTTTTTTTTCCACCTGTTTCAAGGAGGAGCAAAC
Organism: Homo sapiens; assembly: GCF_000001405.40. NCBI lineage: Eukaryota > Metazoa > Chordata > Mammalia > Primates > Hominidae > Homo > Homo sapiens. The sequence goes on from NC_000013.11 coordinate 73,212,198, forward strand.
AACTAGTTGATTGGAACTTTGGTTAACTCCAAATTTTCAGTGTGAGCAATAATGTTTATATCACAAATACCAGTGCAAAATTGCGCTGTTTATCCATTTGCATGATGAACATGTGATCAAAAGGCGGTCTGTGGGTGTGGTGGCTCACACTTGTAATCCCAGAATTTTGGGAGGCCCAGGTGAGAGAATCACTTGAACCCAGGAGTTTGAGACCAGCCTGGGTAACATAGTGAGATCTCATCTCTATAAAAAATAAAAAATTAGCCAGACCTGGTATACATGTCTGTAGTCCCAGCTACTTGAGCGGCTGAGGTGGGAGGATTGTTTGAACTCAGGAAGTTGAGGCTGCAGTGAGCTGTGATGGGACCACTGCACTCCAGCCTGGGCAACAGAGCAATACCCTGTCTCAAAACAAAACAAAACAAAAAAACAAATGGTGGCTTGCATTAAGGGGAAGGAGAGTTAAGGTGTTGCAATGTCGTTTTGGCACTAGCAAGCAACCTCGGCAAAGTTGTAGAGAACTTTCTTCACAAGTGAGATCAATCTAACCACAAAAGATTATATTCCCCTGAGATTTAAAAACACATTTCATGAAAAGAAACTGAGTAATTGAAATTGGAGAGTGCCAGCTCTCCCAGCAGGGCAAGTGTGAGGCCATATTGATGCTTAATTTTCTTTTGAATACTTTAAATGAGAATTTGGATTTACCTGAGATTTAAACCTGATTGACAAAGCTCTTGAGGAGTTCTCGCAGGCTTCAGAAACAAGAGTTAATTGGGCAAGATAATGCAGTCAATTTTGTTAATTCTTCAAGTATTACAGTTTCTTTTCTTTTTCTGTCATTTTGGGGGGTAATTATAAAAGCAATAAAAATCAGATTTACAGACTAGAGTCTTTCTAAGTGATTTAAATACTATTAAGAGATGACTGGGCACAGCAAAATAAAACCAGGAAGAATTAGAGCCTCAATAGGCGATTGAAAATGTGTAAATTTGCTTAGCGATTTCTCATAAAAAAGTTCACAAGTTAAGTTTTACAAAGTTTTTAGTATGTATGTATTACTCCTGATCATGACATGGAATCGTGTGACAAATCAATTGACACTGTGGAATTTTGTCCACATGATAAAATGGAAAGCTGATATATCATTTTTGTTGATAAAGAAAGCCTTATTTGTATGTATTAATAGGCGATATTAGAAGAGGAAGGAAAGAATTCAATTTGAAAAGAAAAACTATATTACTTATTTGGTAGTAGCTGTCAAAACTCAAAACCTTGGCCCAGCACAGTGGCTCACACCTGTAATCCCAGCACTTTGGGAGGCCGAGGCGGGTGGATCATGAGGTCAAGAGATCGAGACCATCCTAGCTAACATGGTGAAAACCTGTCTCTACTAAAAATACAAAAGATTAGCTGGGTGTGGTGGCGGGTGTCTGTATTCCCAGCTACTTGGGAGGGTGAGGCAAGAGAATTGCTTGAACGGGGGAGGCAGAAGTTGCAGTTAGTTGAGATCGCACCACTGCATTCCAGCCTGGGGCGACAGAGCGAGACTCCATCTCAAAAAAAAAAAAAAAAAAAAAAAAGATTCAAAACCTGTGTCCCTATTGACCCTACAGAATGGAACAAATGCACAAAGTTGTAAGAACAAAGCTGTCTGTTTCTATGTGGCTTATAGTAGCAAAAATTACAAACACCCCAATTGTCCATAAGCTGGGAATTAATAAAATACATGATTTGTGTCCATACAATTAAATAGTTAGGTACATCTATAGCATAGATATAAAAATGCATACCATATGTTTTTCACAAATTCATTCAAAAGATTATATTGGATGTCAATTACATACTAGGTCAAGATGCTAGGAATAAAAGATACTAGGAAATAGGACATGTGTGTGGAGAGGGGAAAGAGAAAATAAACAAGTAAGATAATTCCAGATAGCCATGCTATCAAGAAATCCTACCAGGTAATAGGGTAAAGGAGAGTGATTTAGTCAAGGAAGGCCTGGACATGACATGTGAACTGGCCTGAATGATGAGGAGCCCTGGGACCCAGGAACTCATGTTCTAGGCAAACAGAAGAACACGTGCACTGGCTCTCAAGTGGAATGAGTTAGTTTACTGTGCTCAAGAGCAGAGAGGACCCATGCGGCAGGCACCACCTGAAATTGGAGAGGTGCTCCGGAGGTAGATCATGGAAGACATTTAGGCCATGGTGAGGAGCTTAGATTAATTCTACCTGCAATAAGAAAGAAGTTGTTGGAGGGTTCCAAGCAAGGCAGTAATATGATCTGACAAATAGCATCAAAAGATCAGCTGGCAGTGCATGCCTTAAGGGGAAGAATGGAGACAGGGAGGGGCATCATGTCAGAACTGTAAGAGTCAAAGATGACTATGTAAGAGTCGATGTGGCTGGGCGCGGTGGTTCACGCCTGTAATCCCAGCACTTTGGGAGGCTGAGGAGGGCAGATTACGAGATCAAGAGTTCGAGACCAGCCTGACCAACATAGTGAAATCCCGTCTCTACTAAAAATACAAAAATTAGCTGGGTGTAGTGGCACACGCCTGTAATCCCAGCTACTCGGGAGGCTGGGGAAGGAGAATCACTTGAACCTGGGAGGCGGACGTTGCAGTGAGCCAAGATCATACCACTGCATTTCAGCCTAGGTGACAGGGCGAGACTCTGTCTCAAAAAAAAAAAAAAAAAAAGAGTCGATGTAAGAGATGATGTAATTACAAGTCAGAACTGTGAGAATCAAAATGATGATGATATGGGCCATAATTTGGGCTGTGGTGATGGCAAAAAGTGGATTCATTTGAATTTTCTTTCAGGGCATGACATTATTTAGACCTAAAGCTTCAAATCTTTTGATTTGGAACCAGATCTGGGTTCTTACATAGACTCTCTGAAGTCTCATTTTTCTCCTCCGAATATGGGAATGAATAGTGTCTGCTGTATTTTTCAGGGGGCTATTGTTCAGATTAAATAAGACAAACCCACTGAAGGCATTTGGAAACTATGAAAATGCTATGTAAATATGAGGTATTACCATTATGAATTCAGAGATTCCACATAGAAAGCATGACCAGAATTGGGGTTAGGGCTACTTCCATCCCCAGTGTCATAGCATTGACTACTTCAGTGAAATCTCTTGGCTCTCAGTTTCACTAATGTAAAGTAGACAAAATGCATCTTCTCGTCTTAGTCAATGCAAAACAGTGAAGTGAAATTGGGAGAGGACGAACTAATTAGTAATTACAAAATAATTAACAAATAAGCTGCTGAATAAGTGATAAAGAGAACAAAATATTTTCCAATGTATCTCTGGCATACTAGAGTGATTTCATTAAGCCAAGATTTTCCTAAGATCTCAGCTCTTCCCGCTTTTCATTTAATGTCTTTGGGGGCTACTTTCTCTGTCAGGTACTAGGGGAAAGATCAGGAAGTTCCAGAAGCCCAGGTTGTTAGTAATCGCTGTTTCTTTCTTTCCTTTTTCTTTTCTTTTTTTTCTTTTTTTGAGATAGGGTCTTGCTCTGTTGCGTAGGCTGGACTGCAGTGGCACAATCACAGCTCACTGCAGCCTCGAACTCCTGGGCTCAAGCAGTTCTCCTGCTTCAGCCTCCTGAGTAGCTAGGACCACAGGTGTATGCCACTATGCCTGGTTAATTTTTTATCTTTTGTAGAGATGAGGTCTTACTATGCTGCCCAGGCTAGTATTGACTCAAGCAGTCCTCCTCCCTTGGCGTCCTACAGTGCTGGGATTACAGACATGAGCCACTGCGCCCGGCCCAGTAACCTGCAAGTTTCTTAATTGAGAAACGGGAAATGGCTAGAACCTACAAGGAATGTAACTCATTCCCTTCATACTTGAGGAACCACAGCTTCAGGGAAGGAATGAGAGCACTGGTCTTCGGCATAATTGTGATCACAAACATATGACATGAAATGTGAGCATTGGCAAAGACATCCCGTCAATTCACTTAATTTATTTTTTGATTGCCTTCAAGAAGTAGATATTGAAGGACATTCAGATCATGTTTTACAACCAGTATAGGAAAAGATTGGAAGTATTTTAAAACACTCCCCTTTCCTTTTTTTTTTTTTTTTTTTTTTTGGACTTGGGGCATAAGGAAGAAGGTACTTTTTATTTGAACGGCCAGGTGGTGAGAAGGGGAAGGAAGAGCTGTTTGATCAATAATGATTTATTAATCCAGAGGCCACATACTATAGTCATTTCTTCGGTAAAAGTCTAATTGACGTCAATGACTTTGAACATTCTTACTGATTGCCTTTGCGTTCAGTCTTATCTCAGTTTCATCATACCACTAACCACCTCCTTTTACCTTCAAACAATGGCCTCACCAAGCCACTTCTGAGCATGCCCCAGGCTTACTTTCCTAGGGAAAAATTGAGGATTACCTCACTTTCCTGAAAACGTGTCCAACAGAAACAGAGCACTTCTTTCTATGAAAAGCAGACAGCAATATTAACATTTGCCAATTTAGTTGGTGATTTGCTCAATTCAAGGACCACAGAATGTTTGTAGTAGGGCTAAATGTGTAGCCGGGTAGTTTTTGGGAGGCTGTTTTTGTCTTGTATATATTTTTAGCAAGTGAGAAATAGTGATCTCTCATATAAAACAGATGTGTGGTTTGCACAAAATTAAAATGATTTGTCCTTTGCTAGGCAAAATAGAAGTAGTGAGTGATGCAATATTTCAACTAAAAGATATATTATAGAACATTAACATATCAAGTTAGAAGAATGTTCTTTGCAAGCAAAAACATTGATTCATTAAAAAAACTTTTCAAAATAGAATTGTTCATAACTTATTATTGCTGTTCCCATAAAAATATTTTCTGTTTAAATTCATAACAAACATTCTTAGGAGGCGAAATGTCTTTTCTATGTCCCATTTAACAATGTAATTACTTTGTTTTCAAAACCTCATTTTATTCTAGCTGGAAGATATACGATCTTGTTATACAAAACAACCACTTCATCTCTACAGAATCTTATTATTGGAATATATGATTGTAAGTTTCTATAGAGGGTGGGAAGTATAACCTTTGTCTAGTTTAGATTACATGCCATGCAGCTGAAGCCTTGTCTTCAGAAAGATTATATAGGAATTACTTCAATAAAGTTATAAACACAGCTTGTATGTTAGGACATTACAGCTTTATTTATTTATTTTTTTAAAATACAAATTCCAAAGTCCCATCCCTAGAAATTCTGATTTTAAGTAAGTCAGGAATGGGACCAAGGAATCTGTATTTTTGTTTTTTTCTTTTGAGAAAGGGTCTCACTCTGTCACCCTGGCTGGAGTGCAGTGACATGATCTCGGTTCACTGCAACCTCCGCTTTCCAGGTTCAAGAGATTGTCCTGCCTCAGCCTCCTGAGTAGCTGGGACTACAGACACGCACCACCATGCCTGGCTAGTTTTTGTATTTTTAGTAGAGAAGGGGTTTCGCCATGTTGGCCAGGCTGGTCTTGAACTCCTGACCTCAAGTGACCTGCCCACCTCGGCCTCCCAAAGTGCTGGGATTACAGCTGTGAGTCACTGTGCCTGGCCATTTACAGCTTTTGATAGAAATGTGTTCATTTGTATTATTCTGTGATGAGACTACTAAATACTATTCTTCATAAGTGACCCATCCTAATTATATATGTTTAATAAAAAAATGGGAAAAGATAGAATGTGGGATAAAATTGTGAGTGTGTGATTTGACAAGGTGAAGTGTAACCAGGTGTAGATGCTGCAGCTTGAATATGTGACCTTTACAAGGTCTGTGTGGTTCTGTGATGTTCCCCAAGACTCTGCAGTTATCATCACACATGAACACCACTGACCTAAGATCCTCCTGGCTCTATGTCTTTGAGATGCCCTTCTCTCCGACTAAAACCCTTCCCCCACCCACTTTCCTCTGCCTTCCTCTGAGAAAATCCTAGTAATAGTTCAGTCAGATCTTGCATTAGGCCATCCCTTCCCCTTGAGGGGTCCCCTGAGCACCCCCTCTGATCCCTGCTGGCTAGGCTGGGCTCCCTACTTCAGCTGCCAGTACATCTGGAGCTGCTTCATTTCTACCATCTCACATGAAATTTATTACTGTTTATATTCGCCAAACAAGGACAAAGATTTGTCTGTCACACCACATTCTATACCCAGCTCCTAACACAGAACTGGGGAACAGTAGACAATAGAATGCATTGAATGCACAGATCTTTATTTTGTACAGAATTCATCATGATCACATTATAACCAGGCCATCAGATGTTAACTCAGCACTTACTTGTTTCATTAGAAGATGAATAGTTTAAAGAAGAAAAAAAAATACCCTCTTAGTTTCCTGATTATATCTTCTTAAACTTTTGGTTGATAGATATATTTAATAAAGATTCTAGTTGTAAGTGGCAACTTTATTTATTTGATAAAGACTCTAAGTTCCCACCTAGCTGAGAAGTTCAAAGTGTGAACTTGGGCCAGGTGCAGTGGCCTGTAATCCCAGCACTTTGGGAAGCCGAGGCAGGCAGATCACTTGAGGTCAGGAGTTTGAGACCAGCCTGGCCAACATGGTGAAACCCCATCTCTACTAAAAATAGAGGCCGGGCATCGTGGCGCATGCCTATAGTCCTGGCTACTCGGGACGCTGAGGCAGGAGAATCACTTGAACCCGGAAGGCAGAGGTTTCAGTGAGCCGAGATTGCATCACTGCACTCCAGCCTGGGCAACAGAGCAAGACTCTGTCTCAAAAAAAAAAAAAAAAAAAAAGCGTGAACTTGGCTTTGGGAAAGAATGGATTCAGGAGTTCATATCAGACAATTATAAATCCATCTCTCTTGTTCTTCTTTTGCCACTGTTATCTTCTGCATTGAGTTCATTCTCAGGCAGAGAATGAAGAGCAGGCGGGTTGCATTGTTTGTAAAGAGGACTCCCAGGGAAAAAAAAGAGAGCCTTTCCCCTATGAATCCCGTGCAGCTTCTGGAGTTCCTCACCAGCCCTGTTTGGGCCACATACCCATGCTAGGGTCCATTCTTGTAGCCATAGTAGTGAAAAACTTTGGCCAATCTAAGGAGTATGTTCACCTGGTGGAGGTAAGGAAGGATTCCCACAACAAAGAAGAATTTGTTAGCAGAAAGATGAAGAAGGAGAATATGTGCAGGCAGACAAAAGCCTTTGCTACCATGATTCTGTGCCAAAGAAATACTGGGCACCCGGGACAATCAATCATCAGCGTTGGTTCTGACCAAGCACCTTGATTTCACTTGCTCGGTATTTTTAGTAATGCATGGAAGCTAGTGAGAGAACACTTTAACCATTGCTTCTTTCATGTATTGACTCATTCTAACACAGAATGTTTGCACCAAGGTCTAAGAATACAAGAATGAACAGGACACACAATAGCCCCTGCCCTGATGGAACTTACATTCCATTGTGTGTGAGGTGGGGTGAGGGAGGTAGACAAAACCCAAACAAAGAAACCAATAGATCATTAGAAATTGTAATAAATGCTGTGAGGGAAGCCAACTTGGGGGTAACTATCATTTCTATCAAGTCTTTGCTCAGTGTCCTCTTTTTAAGGAAGCTTACCCTATTTTTCCTGTTTCAAATTACAGCTCACTCCATTCTGCCTCTCCCATTTCCCCTTCTCCCTTATGTTCATAGCTCCTTTGACCTTCTAACGTACCCATAGTCTATTTATAATTTACACATTAAGTTTGCATTTTTTTGTTTTGTTTTGTTTTGAGACAGGCTCTTGCTCTGTCACCCAGGCTGGAGTGCCGTGGTGCTATCACAGCTCACTGCAACCTTAAACTCCTGGGGTCAAGCGATCCTCCTGCCTCAGCATCCTGAATAGCTGGGACTGCAGGTATGCACAACCACGCCTGCTAATTAATTTTTTTTTTGGTAGAGATGGCGGGGGGCGGGTCTTGCTATGTTGCCCAGGCTGGTCTTGAACTCCTGGACTCAAGCAATCCTCCCATCTCAGTCTCTCAAAGTGCTTGGATTATAGGTGTGAACTACTTCACCTGGCCTTAAGTTTGCAGTTTTTAAAGTGCACTCCCTCTGCCATCCCCTCTATTAGAATGTAAACCCTGTTAAGGGCAGAAATTTTTTTCACCTGGTACAGGCAAGGAAGGATTCCCAGAATAGAGACTGTTATTTTCACCTATGTATCTTCCAGTGCTTCATACATAGTAGGTGCTTAATAAATAGGTATAGAATGAATGAATAAATGAAACAGAGAACAGAGGGGATAAGGGGGTACTTTGGACATGGAGGACAGAGGTGACCTCCTTGAGGACATGAGATTGTGGGACATCAATAGTGAGGATGCATCCTTGAGAAAACGTGGAAGACAAATGCATGGAGTGCTTCCTTCTGCTTCCAGTTTGTAGAAGCGTCACTTCCTTGGGGACACTTTCCTTGCCCCCTCCCCAGGTCATGGCTGCAGTTACACACGCTCATAGCATCCTGCAGTTTTCCTCCTTAGTGTGGTGTAGGTACTTGGATAATTATTTTTAATGTCTGTCTCGGCCGGGCTCATGCCTGTAATCCCAGCACTTTGGGAGGCCGAAGCTGGCGGATCACCTGAAGTTGGGAGTTTGAGACCAGCCTGACCAACATGGAGAAACCCCACTCTATTAAAAATACAAAATTAGCCGGGCATGGTGGCGCATGCCTGCAATCCCAGCTACTCATGAGGCTGAGGCAGGAGCATCGCTTGAACCCAGGAGGCAGAGGTTGCAGTGAGCTGAGATCGCACCATTGCACTCCAGCCTGGGGCAACAACAGTGAAACTCTGTCTCAAAACAAACAAACAAACTTGTCTGTTTCTCCTAATACTATAATCCCCACAAGGATAACAGGGAAGGTACTTGGAGAATTCAAGAAATGAAACAAGCGATGGGCTACTGCTACAGTGTGGTGAGCAGTGGGGGAGCAGTATCGGTAAAGCTGGAGAGATATGCAGGGGCCAGATCATCCGAGGGTCTGTGTCTTGTGATAAGGAGTTTGAATGTTTATTCTAGCGTGATGGAAAGCCACTGATTGAATGGTTCTGAAAGCGAGGAAGCACATGATCTGGGTTGCATTTGCACCTAGTGTTTCTTGAATCAGTCTAGAGTCATTTTCCCAGCCCAAGCCACCTAGCTTCACCTCTCACTGGAATTACTTGTAATGAGTTTTCCCTCATCCACCTGTGTCCCTCTGCAATCCTTTTCCCCACACAGCAGCACTAGAGGTCAAGTCTGGAGTCACTCTGCTGGAATCTGGACGGGCTTCCCATTATCTTTAGGGTAAAGACTTAAGTCATCATGAGTCCTGCAAGGGAGGCCAGGGTTATCTGTCTCTCCTGCTCGTCTCTTCTGCAGGGCCCTGTCTCTCTGGCTCACCCCTCCACAGAGCACTGGCCTTGCTGTAATTGCTAGAACACACCAGCCTGCTTCCTTCTTAGAGCCTCCCACAGGCTCCTCCCCTGCGCCCTCCACACCTGCTAAGTGCCTCCTTCTGCTTCCCATTTGTAGAAGCATCACTTCCTCAGGGACACCTTCCTTGCCCCCTCCCCAGGCCATGACTGAGGCTACACATGCGCATAGCACCTTGCACTTTTCCTACTTAATGTTGTATAAGTACATGGATAATTATTTTTAAATGTCTCTTTCTCCCAACACTATAATCCCCATGGGAGCCAGGACTGTTATTATCTGATTCACCATCTAGCACTGAACTGATTCTCGGTGCTTAATACATATTGATTGACTGGTGGAATAAATTAAATAGGATTGTTTAAGCAACACCCAATAGATTTGCCTTTTAAGCTGGGTGCAGTGGCTCAATTCCAGCACTTTGGGATGCTGAGGCAGGAAGATCGCTTGAGCTCAGGGGTTTGAGACCAGCCTGGGCAACACAGGGTGTCCCAGATCTTTACTACTTAAAAAAAAAAAAAAAAATCCAGGTGTGGTGGTGCATGCCCATAGTTCCAGCTACTATGGAAGCGGAGGTGCTGGAATCCTTGAGCCAGGGAGGTTGAGGCCACAGTGAACCGTGATTTCACCACTGGTCCAGCATGAGTGACAGAGACCCTGTTTCAAAAAAAATAATTACAAAAAAGATTTGCCTTTTATTTTGTTCACTCTAGACCTTTTATAGTCATACTCATTCAACTCATTCAATCAATCATTCTTTTCTTCTCTTTTTTTTTTTGAGACAGAGTCTCACTCTGTCACTCAGGCTGCTAGAGTGCAGTGGCACAATCTCGGCTCATTGCAACCTCTGCCTCCCAGGTTCAAGCAATTTTCCTGTCTCAGCCTCCTGAGTAGCTGGGATTACAGGTGTGCACCATCACACCTGGCTAATTTTTGTGTTTTTAGTAGAGATGGAGTTTCACCATGTTGGCCAGGTGGGTCTCGAACTCCTGACCTCAGGTGATCCACCCGCCTCAGTCTCCTAAAGTGCTGGGATTACAGGCATGAGCCACTGTGCCCGGCCTAGCATCATTATTTTCTGATTTATCATGCTTTTTCTTCTTCAGCCTGGTCTAGCAGTCTTTCTTCATCCACTTTATGATAACACAATGTCTTATGTGAGGACTTCTCGGGGCCACCTAAGTCTCCAAGAGGTGGCAGTGCTACCCTCACCTCTTCCTCCCTGCCTAGGGAGCAGCAGTCCTCCTGTTACCAGCAGTCAGGTCAAGCCCTTCACCAGGTCTACTGCTGCGGGACTCCTATTCCAGAATAGATGGCTGGCTTTTCAATGGTAAGGGAAGTGGCTCCCTCTGGAATTCTAGGTGTTTCATAGATATCTCTTCACCCTCAAAGTCCAGGAAGAAACTTGACAGTAGGAAGGTAGTAAGTGACAACGGTGTCACTCATTGGGATGGCTCAAGCAGAGGTGTTGTCTGTTAGTGTGAGACCCTTTGTCACGAAGAAGCCAGGCCAGGAAAAGGTGAGTGTACTGTGATAAGATAAGGCTAGGGTCATTATTTCTCAAGGAGTAAAGTCAAAGTCATCATAATAGGAAGAATAAGTATTCCTCATGGAAACTAGATTGGAAGGGACTTTAGCAGTCCCAGTGAACAGGTGTTCAAGCACCCACAAACCTCCTCCTTTTGCAGGGCGTGGACCTGCAAGCTCCCCTGAACAGAGTCAGTAGGAAGCCCAGTGGCACCCAGGCGAAGTGAGAGAATCAGCTACTCAAAATGGGACCAGGACCGTGGAGAGGTGGCATGTCCTTCAGAAGGGGCAGGGAGGGCTGACAGGGAGAGTTGCAGAGGGACACAGAGAGATAGAAAAAAAGGGTTATCCTTGTGTGGTTTAAGGGTCAAGTTCATTACATGAGGCCCAGCCACCGGCTGTGAGACTTGGCTTCACAATGACTCCACCCAGCATGGGTGCCCATAATGCAGTTTCATGTGTTTCTCCCTTAACCGCAGAGCATGGTTGAAGATGAAACCTGTGGGGTTTTCAAAAAGGCCAGCTCTGGTTTTCAACAAAGAGACTTTTAATAAAGCCGTAAACTGGGTGAATCATAGTCCTCATTGGCTTCTCTTTTCTTCTCCTATGTAATTTTAATCCTCTTGTTTGTTTCTGAGCCGATTTCATCATTTTTATCTACTTGTCTAAACTAACCCAAACTCCTTAAAAACTTCAAGTTAGTTTTTGTTAATATTTAATATTTTATTTCAGGTTTCTGCGTTGGATTCACACAGGTCGCAAAAAAATGCACCACTATCACCACCACACCTGGCTATTTGGGCCATTGGAAGCCTCTTTTTCTCAGGAAGGAAGGCCCGTGGCTCATATTCCATGGAGATCAGGGAGTGATTCTCCTGCCTTAGTAGCTTCTGCGTTGTAACATTGGAAGTTTTGAATAGAAACTTCATCTGTGGGAGGGTGGTTATAGAAAGGAAGTTTTAAAATGATTAAATGTTTCAACAATAGTATTTTGACTATAAGATCTGAAAAACTGAGTAAGTAACTAGAATTCACTGCTTAGGAGAGACGAAATAGAATTGAACTGTTACCAATAAAAGATTGGGTCGTCTTGTTTTTTTTGTTTTGTTTTTTTAGATGGAGTCTTGCTCTGTTGCCCAGGCAGTGGTGCGATCTCAGCTCACTGAAGCCTCTGCCTCCCAGGTTCAAGCGATTCTCCTGCTTTGCCCTCCCGAGTAGCTGGGATTACAGGTATCCACCACCACACCCGGCTAATTTTTGTATTTTTAGTAGAGACGGGGTTTCACCATCTTGGCCAGGCTGGTCTCAAACTCCTGACCTCAAGTGATCCACCCACCTCAGCCTCGCAAAGTGCTGGAATTACAGACGTGAACCACCACACCCAGCCTGGATCTGCTTGTCTATTTAAGTTATTAACGAATTTTTTTTACTGATTTACCTATAGCCATGTGGAGAGTACATGATATTTCAAAATATCTTCAATATAAGTGATATTTATTTAGCCCCAAATGTTGCATGCCTTAATTCTATATTTGAGCATATGCTTTAGATTTGGTTTGTGGTAAAATGGAGCATTCCCTCTAGTGTTATGTAGTATGATGGCAGTGAATGAAAGAGTGAAATTTTGTATCTTATTGCAGTAGAGTACTAAGGAAGATGACAGATTCTCCTTATTTGGAGAACAGGAAGTGGTCTAGGATTGAAATCCAAAAAAATCAAATTTGTTTGGTGTTACCAGTAGTGACCTGCCTTGATGTGGCTTCTTCAGATGCAACTAGAACCAAAAATTGTGACATCTGAAAGTAGTGGGAGAATTTGAGGAACATGAGTCAGAACCTGTTACCTAAAATTTCAGCCTCTGAAGTCACTATTCCCAGGATGAATGACTGGCTTTACAGAGTCCCTGCAATTATCATCACCTGGAGTAGATGGAGAAAAAGGTCGTTTGAGAAGACTAAGGCTTAAATGAAATAGCATTTTGAAGATTCTTTCTGAGCCATTCGGATTTCCTTACTTGATCTCTTAACTGCTTCAACTTATCCAGAGAGCAGTTCTATTCTTTCTACTCCTTGAATGAATAAGAGAAAAGTAATTTGTGGTTTACTAACATCTGCATCAGGGTTAAATGATATTTGTTAAAGATGTTTAAGTCCTGGACACCACGCTGACCAGTAGAATCGAAGTGTTGTAAACTGCATTTTTAAAAACCTCTCTAAGTGTTTTTTTGGCATCCTAAAATTTGGGAACTACTGGTCTGTAGTATGAGGGCCAGTAGCCACATACATAATGAATGCTTTTGTTGATACTGATGTTATTACCAGAGTTAATTTTAATGAAAACTGAAGCTGATTAAGACACTCTTACTGCCTACTTCTGCTTAAAGGATTCCTTTTTCTTTCTTTCTTTCTTTTTTATTTTTATTTTTTTTTTTGAGACAGGGTCTCTGTCACCCAGGCTGGAGCACACTGGTACAATCACAGCTCACTGTAGCCTTGACCTCCCAGGCTCAAGTGATCCTCCTGCCTCAGCCTCCTGAGTAGCTGGGACTACAGGTGCTCACCACCATGCCCAGCTAATTTTTATTTATTTTTGTAGAGACGGGGTCTTGCCACGTTGCCCAGGCTGGTCTCAAACTTCTGGGCTCAAGCGATCCTCTTGCCTTGGCCTTCCAAAGTGCTGGGATTACAGGAATGAGCCACAAAGAATTCTTTAAAAAAGAATATGACAACTCTGGGTAAAAGTAAAAAATATTATTTACTTTAACTCCCTCTGTTCTTGAGCCATAATATTCTTGAGCAGTGGTTCTCAAATTTAGCAGTGCATTAGAATCTCTCTCGGAGTTTGTTAGAATACAGATTACTGGGCCTCATCCCCAGTAGTTTCTGATTCTGGATGAGCCCTGAGAGTTTACAAGTTCTTTACAAGTTTCTTGTAAGTTCCCATATGTTTTAGTTGGCTAGGGCTGCCATAACAAAATACTGTACACTGGGTGGCTTAAACAACAGAACTTTATTATCTCATAGCTCTAGAGGCTCAAAGTCCTAGATCATGGTGCTAGCAGGGTTGGTTTCCAGGAGGCCCCTCTCCCTGGCTTGCAGATGGCTGTCTCTTCATACAGTAATCTGTCTGGGCACATATGCATCCCTGGTATCTCTTCTGGGTATTCAAATATCCTCTTCTTATGAGGACAAAAGTCACATTGGATTAGGGCCCATTCTACTGACCTCATATTAACTTAATCATCTCTTTAAAGGCCCTGTCTCCAAATATGGTCATATTCTGAAGTACTGGCAGTTAGGACTTCAACATATAAATTTTGAGGGGGACAAAATTCAGTCTGTAACACCATATAATGCTGAGGCTATAGATCTAGGGACCACACTTTGAGAACCACTCTTCCAGACTTGACTGGCCAAACAAGAAATAACTTCTGAAAATACATTTTTCAATCTTGGTAAGCAGTTCTTGGCCTTCTACTCTTTCTAACAACTTTCTCATGATGATCCTTTCGACGTCTCTCTTATAATTATTATCCTTGGCAGATAATTTTCCAGTCTGCAGTCTACGTCTCTGTCCTCAATGACTCTTAAATACGTGTCAGAATCCAACTGGGTGTCTTGCCAACAGCTCACACTTAGTGTATTCACACCAGAGCTTATTTTGGTTGGTTTGGTCTTGCTCTTCATTTTGTTTCCCTGTTTCTGTGACATGACCACTCACTGGACATTTAAATGGGATCATGGAGTCATATTTTGTATTTTCCTTTCCTCTGCACCAAATCGAGCAGCATCAACTTTGCAAGTCTCTGTCCCCATAGCCCTTTTCATTTTGTGTCCAGCTTTGTTTAGGTCTCATTCCTTCTTCTTCGAATGTTGCAACAGCCTTCTATCCGGAATCTGTCCTTTTAGTCTCTCCCTCCTTTAATGAAGACTATCTGCTGTTGCTGGAGTCATCTTCCTAAAGCATTATTCTAATCAAAATTTTCAACTGTGGCTGGTCCATAAGGTAGTGAGTTACCTCAATTGATTGTTCCCAGTCAGTGACAGATCGACTTCCTTGTTCTATTCTTTCCCCACTTCTCACTACTGCACTTAACTAGTGTTAAAAAAAAAAATCAAGTGTTTTTCCACTGCTTATTCAATAGGTAATATGCCCAGTTAAAAAAAACCTCAGGGTTCTGCTACAAAAAAAAAGAGTGAGTAAGAAACTATCAGTCTCCTCCAGCCTGCTCCACTGATTCCCCAAATATTCACTTCATCTTTCCTGTCACACAAGACCCTTCACCCTTCCCAATGCACACACCCCAAAGTGCAATGCAGTTAGAATCTCCAGCTCAAGGTTAAAGATCTTTGCATGTTGTGCATTTGGCTCTGTCAGATCCCAGTGTGCCCAGTGTGGATCATCATGGTCTGGCAAAAAATTATCTGCCCATCGCACCAATATTCAGTGGTGCAGTAGGAACATAGTGACTGCAATATAGTATCTGTATTAGCCTGTTCTCATGCTGCTGATAAAGACCTGCCCAAGGCTGGGTAATTTATAAGGAAAAAGAGCTTTAATGGTGTTGATAAAGACATGCCCAAGACTGGGTAATTTATAAGGAAAAAGAGCTTTAACGGATTCAGAGTTCCACGTGGTTGGGGAGGCCTCACATCATGGTAGAAGGTGGAAGGCAAAAGGCACGCCTTACATGGTGGCAGGCAAGAGACAGAATGAGAGCCAAGCAAAAGGGGTTTCTCCTTATAAAACCATCAGATCTCATGAGACTTATTCTTATTCACAACAGTATGAGGGAAACCGCCCCTATGAATCAATTATCTCCCACTGGGTCCCTCCCACAACATGTGGGAATTGTGGGAGCTACAATTCAAGATGAGATATGGGTAGGGACACAGCCAAACCATATCAGTATCCATGCAGAAAAGGAGAAAAATAGAAGATTTGAGGGCCATAGCAACTTTTAAATGATGCTGAGCCAGAACAGTGAAGACTCCAGCCTAGGCAGTGGAGTTATTATCATGGCTGTTGTCCTTGTTGGCCATTGGTTTTACCTTCTCAGACACTCTTTCTGGCCCCCTCTCCTCTGTGATCTTTCCAAGGTGAGCATTATAAAGTACACTGTTCTTGGGGTCTGCATTCACACCCACCTCTTTTTGGTGTAAGTTTGGAGACTTGGATTGTTTTAGGGATTGCAACATCATGATGCCAGGCTTGGGGTTTCATTGGCAACACAGTTCCCTAAAAATCTGAGGGGCTTCCAGTCTTCTTGCTGTTGTTCCATCCTGTATGTGAATAACCAGAACCAGAGGTCCTGTTTTCATATAATTTTTGAGCCTAGAGTCTCTAGTTTATTACATACGGGCCTTTGTGCTTTGCCAACTTCTCTTCCCCCAAATTAACTTGAGATGATTTGAAAAATAGGCATGGGGATCTTTGCAAATTTGCTGCTTCCTTGTTCTATAGAAAATTCCTGAAGGGAAGGCTTGAACAAGGTGTGGGGTCATGGTCTTATATCTTATAAGATATAAGATATATCAACCACAATATAGCACAACCACAAGGTGGCTTGTGCTCTTGCCTCTGGCTGTGGCTCATAATAGTTTCACTTTGAAGTAAGGATGTAGTCAGCTTTTTCAGCCTGAAAATGTTCCACATTAGACTTGTTAACCTAGCTGCTGGCTGTGGCATCTTAGCAAAATTGTATTTCCTTCCACTCTGCTGGCAGACTGACTAGCTCTAGCCTAGGTTTATCTCTTTTGTGTAGGATTTTGTTGAAAGTATCAGAACTTGCCAAAACACACCACCCTTCTAAAACTTTCATACTATTTTCACTAATGCCACAGGCTTGGTTGGCACCTTTGAATGTTCTGCTAGTCACTGTTTTTACTAGGATCACCAGTTCCCTAGTCTGCAAGAGTTTTATTTTCCCCCCCTCCAAGAGATGATGTATTGCTATGTTGCTCAGGCTAGAATGCAGTGATTATTCACAGATGCAATCATAGTTTTACCTTTTCTATGTCACTCAGACACCTCCTTTAAGTGAATCCTACATTTTAGCTAATGCAGTAGCTCTCTTTTGGTATCAAATTTTATATTAATTAGAATTAAGTTTGGGTGCACATGTCAGAAAGCAAAAAGTAACAGTGGTTTCAATGATGCTGGTTTATTTCTCTTCCTTTTAAAAGAAGTTTGGAGGGAGGCAGTCTAGAGCTTGTTAAAGACTCCCAGTATTGTTAGTGTTCCAGGATCTTCCAGCTTTCCTCTCCACCTGCCTAGAGTGAGGACATTGAACTTGTGATTTAAAATGGCTGCTGGAAGTCCAGCCATCACATCCACTTTCCATACATGAAGAAATAGAAAGTGGAATGAGAAGGGTATACCCTTTACCTTACACTGAGATTTTTGAGGAAATCTATACTTCATTATAACTGCGTGGCCAAGATTTAGTTAATCATATGGCCACTCCTAGCTTCAAGAGAGGCTTAAAATATAGTCTTTTAGCTAAGTAGATGTATCCATCTATCTATCAAGGTTTCGTTACCAAAGTGAAAGGGAAGGTATACAGCAGAGCAGGAAACTAACAGCCTGTCACAGGTAAATGTATAAGTAATAGGGAACATGGCAAAGAGGCCAAGCATGGTGGCTCATGCCTATAATCCCAGCGCTTTGGGAAGCCAAGTGGGCAGATCACTTGAGGTCACGAGTTTGAGACCAGCCTGGCCAACAGAATGAAACCCCATCTTTACTAAAAATACAAAAATTAGCTGGGCGTGGTGGCGCATGCCTGTAGTCCCAGCTACTCGGGAGGCTGAGGCAGGAGAATCGCTTGAACCCAGGTTGCTTGCTGCAACCTCCACCATTGTACTCCAGCCTGGGCAACAGAGTGGTACTCTGCCTCAATAAATAAAAATAAAATAAAATAAAATAAAGAAACAAAATAAAGAGTTTAATGTGCCTCAAGGGAGCTCCACGTAAGTGTGAGGAGGAATTCTGCAGAGGGTGAGGTAGCAGTCAGCTACAACAGCCGTGGAGGGCTTTCAAAAGAAGGTAACATTTGAATTCAGTTTTAAAGAATGAGTAGGAGAGAAGTAGGGCAGTTGAACTGGAGAACCAGGACAATTAAAGGCAAATATTTGAAAAAAATGCAAGGTCTATACCCATTTGACTAGACAGGGCTGGGAGTAGGGCGAAGTGAAGGAGATGCGCAGGGTACCTGAGATCCTCAGTTCCAGGGTCTTGCCAGCCTGGGATGAGCAGCTCCACAAAATGTATGCTCTAGGTGCCTCACTTACCTGTCCCTAGTCCTGGTTCTGCACTTGAATACATGATACATTAAGGGGACTGGTGGCAAGCCAGGCTGGGATGTCAGCCCTTTCTAATTTCAAGTAAAGAAACTGAAGTCGGCTCCCACACGTGTCCAGAAGAAAGCCTAACATCTTACGCCAGTTCCAGATGACAATTTGGCAATTCTCCCACCAAAGGAAGGATTTTGCTGTTAACTAGCATGATAATTTCTTATAGACCACACATCAAAGACAAATTGCCATGTTTTTTCTTGCCATGGTTATTCTGAGCTTCTGAGTAGTATTTTAGTCTTTCATGATTAGACCCACATCAGATCTTGATGTGAAGAAAGATTCAGGACATTTACTATGATGTTAATATAGCTGACACCTGCTGTAAAAGCCACACAAAATGAAGATGGTGGGAAGTCCCCCGCATTCTCCCAGTATGGGCCTGCAATGCACATGCTCTCACGAGTCAGCGGAAGACAAGTTGTTACAAAAGCTTTCACTCAAATAAGTAAGTTGGGAAATGCAGGAAGTGGGTTATACTGTATGGTTATAATATCATGAAAGCAGTAAATGTTATGCCACTTCTTTCCTAACCTCCCTAACTATGAAGTTGGAGTTCTAGACTTATCATTCCCATCACCATATGTCCTAGATCCTGATTCTCCTTCCAAAAATAGTGAAAGATTACTGGAAACTCCAGACATCAGTTGGTCTACCTGCAGCTCTGTGATAGTGGGGTAGGGAGTAGGTTATAGAAAACAGATTAAAAATAATAGATGCAATTTATTGAGGTATCTTCTAGTTGCTAAGCTCTTGCCATGCATCATTATCTCATAAAGTTCTTTGTTCTTACTTTTAATTATAGGTAGAAGAAATAGTGTATATAGAGATTTAAAGCATTTTTTTTTTGAGACAGGGTCTTGCTCTGTTGTCCAAGCTGGAGTTCAGTAGTGCAATCAGGGCTTCCTGCAGCCTTGAGTTCCTGGGCTCAAGTGATCCAACCATCTCAGCCTCCCAAAGTGCTGGGATTATAGGCATGGGCCACTATGCGCGGCCGTTTTTGATTTTATTTTAAAAAATTATTTTATAGATGGGATCTTGCTATATTGACAAGTCTGGTCTCAAACTTCTCCCACTTCAGCCTCCTGAGCTGCAGGAGCTACAGGCAGACACCACTATACCCGCTTATAGAGATATTAAGTTTCTTGTTCAGTGGCCATCTGGTTTATATTAAAGAACCTTCTCTAGTGGTAACCCACTTCCTCCTGAGGGGAACATCTTTGGGCAACTTTAATTATGGGAAAGTTATTTTTTGTGTATGATTCAAAAGTTGATTTTCTATACCTTCTGCTTACTGATTCTTTTTTTTTTTTTTTTTTTTTTTTGAGACAGGGTCTTACTCTGTTGCCCACACTGGAATGCAATGCCACAATCTCGGCTCACTGCAGCCTTGATCTGCTAGGCTCAAGCAATCCTCCCGCCTCAGCCTTTTGAGTAGCTGGGACTACAGGTCTGTGCCACCACTAATTTTTAATTTTTTGTAATGATGGGGTCCCTTTACATTGCCCAGGCTGGTCTCGAAATCTTGAGCTCAAGAAATCCTTGACCACTGGCCTCCCCAAATGCTGGGATTAAAGGTGTGAGCCACCACACCTAGCCTGGTTACTGGTTCTTAGTTCTATCCCTACTATTGAAGTCCTTAAAATATGCAAAAATAGTTATCACGTTTCCAGGTTTTCCTTGTCTCTTGATTGAAAATTCAGGTTCCTCACATGGCCTGATTCTAAACTTCTTCCTCACTGGGGTTGCCATTCTTTTGTTATGTTCTAGTTTGTCTGTAAGCTCTAAAAAGAACTGAGCACAGTAACCCACCTGTGGGTACTAACTGTAGTGTTTAGAAGGACTGTCACCTCCCTCACTCTAGATGTTATGTCTTTCTTCCTTTTCCTTTCTCTCTCCTTCCTTCCTTCCTTCATTCCTTCCTTCTTTCCCTCCCTCCCTCCCTCCCTCCTTCCCTCCCTCCTTCCCTCCCTCCCTCCCTCCCTCCCTCTCTCTCTCTTTCTCCCTTTCTCCCTTTCTTTCTTTCTTTCTTTGACAGAGTTGACAGAGTCTCACTCTGTCATCTAGGCAGAAGTGCAGTGGTGCAATCATAGCTCACTGTAGCCTTAAACTCCCTGGTTCAAGCATCCTCCTGCCTTAGCCTTCCCACCTGTAGGACTACAGGTGCACACCACCACATCTGGCAAATTAAATTTTTTTTTTTGTAGAGATGGAGTCTTGCTGTGTTGCCCAGCTTGGTCTCAAATTTCTGAGCCCAAGCGATCCTCCTGCTTCAGCCTCCCAAAGTGCTGGGATTACAGGTGTGAGCCACTGTGTCAGCCCAGATATTGTATTTCTATTAATGGAATGTAGAATTCTCAGTATTTTAGGGTGTCAGGGACTATATATAAAACTATATATTTTTTATATATTTTAGGGTGTCAGGGACTATATATAAAACTATATATTTTATACTTATATACTTCCATTAAACATACCATTGATGAAATCCCTAAATTTTTTTTCACATTTGCTTTTGCTATGCCTTGTTACCGCCGTACTACATTTCTTCAGGTGGGTGTTTTGGATGCAAACACAGACCTTAACATTTGTTTCAGTGAAATAACATTTTATTCAATTCAAAACGTTGCTCCAGGTGCTTAAGATTTTTTTTGAGATTGATTTTTGCCACCCACCATACTTACTATTACTTCTAGCTTCATTGCGTCAAGTAATATGAAAACCTGTCCTCTGTATCTTCTTCTTTTTTTGAGAGACAGTCTCGTTCTGTTGCCCAGGCTGGAGTGCAATGGTGCGATCTCAGCTCACTGCAACCTCTGACTCCTGGGTTCAAGCAATTCTCGTGCCTCAGCCTCCCGAGTAGCTGAGATTGCAGGCACCCGCCACCACACCTGGCTAATTTTTTGTATTTTTTTCAGTAGAGACAGGGTTTTGCCTCATTGCCCAGGCTGGTTTTGAACTCCTGAGCTCAGGCAATCCACCTGCCTTGGCCTCCCAAAGTGCTAGGATTACTAGCGTGAGCCACTGCGCCCGGCTATATATTTTCTATTTTATTTTATTTATTTATTTATTTTTAGATGTAGTTTCACTCTTGTTGCTGAGGCTGGAGTGCAGTGGCACAATCTCAGCTCACTGCAACCTCCACCTTCTAGGTTCAAGCGATTCTCTTGCCTCAGCCTCCCAAGTAGCTGGGATTACAGGTGCCCACCACCATGCCTGGCTAATTTTTTTATTCTTAGTAGAGACAGGGTTTTGCAATGTTGGCCAGGCTGGTCTTGAACTCCTAACTTCAGGTGATCCACCTGCCTTGGCCTCCCAAAGTGCCTGAGATTACGAGTGTGAGCTACCATGCCTGGCCAAAACCTGTCCTCTGTATCTTCTAACAGTGCAACTAACAAACTGTTGACATTGATCCATCAGAAGGAGACAACTCTCCAGCATCGGCTTAGACTATCTGTTCTTCTTTTGCCATTCAGATCCTTGTTCATCATGTTTTCCCTTCAGAAATTTTCCCATATTTGAATGTTTTCAAAGTCTACCTGTTTTTCAAGGTCTAATTCAAAGCCCATCTCCTCCATGAAGTCTGCTCTGATCCATTGTGATTTTCCCGTCTCGGAAATTCCTAGGCATATTTGGATTCTTCACTCCTAACCTCCCACATCCTTTCTGTGAATGTAAACTCCACCTTCACTTCCAGTCTCATGAAGACAAGAACAATATTATTTATTAGCCTCTAGCCTCTGGCTGTCACAGTACCAGGCTGAGGGTAGTGTTTAATTGTTACTTGTTTGGATTGATTAGGCCAGTAGTTCTCAACAGGAGATGGTTTTGCCCACCTCCTCCTCCCTTTCCAGGGAATGTTTGGCTATGTCTGGAGACATTTTTTTATTGTCCTACTGAAAGGGTGCTACTGGCATCTATCTAGTGGGTAGAAGCCAAGGATTCTGCTAAACATCCTAAAGTACACCGGATGATCCCCACCCTAAAAAATCATCCAGAATGTCAATAATGATGATGTTGGGTAACTCTGTATTAGACAATTCAGGCGTGTTTTGATTGGCTTTTTAAAAGACTACTCCATCTTTCCGTTAAGAACTACATTTTGGTGACAGATAACATGTCTGCCGACCCTTCCTGGAAGGAATGCTGCCTCCACATAGTCACCTCTGTGGTTCAAGCCAGGGCAGTCAGTTTGTCTTGGTTAGGTTACTGAAAGAAGATGATTATGGGTGAGTTAGCAGGTATGGGCATAATAAAAGTGATTCCACAAGCTACAACTAAAAATTAGTTTTATTAGTTTCTGGCTATGCTCTCTATAAATGTCTAGGTTTGGGCTTCATTTTATTTGTATGTTAGAATGAGATAGTAAGAACTTTCCTCTAGCTATTTTATGAGGATATTTTGAAGAAAAAGGACATAATTTAGGTGAAAAGTTTTGAATTCTCTGGGTAGGAAAATGACCATTAAAGCATTACAATGATAATTATTAGTGGATATCTGGGGTACATGGGAACAAAGTACTTTATATAAGGTGCTTTATACTGCAAAGAAAAGACGCAATTAAAGCAAACATGTTGTTCTGGTTCTAACTTATATTTCTGTGGCCAGGCTTGATCTCCTAAACTATATATATATGTCTTCCCACCACCACCTGAGGAGACCCTACCGGAAACCATCTTCCTGACCCATGGGCTGTGGCCAGGTCCAAGAGAGTGGATGAGAAACAATAAGAAAATGTTTGCTGATCTTAGGATGTATGAGTGCTTTTATTATTATTTAAAATGGAAACTTTATGGGATTCAGAAAGCCATCCCTTGATAAACTTGGCTCCTTTCCATGGTTTTATTTTTGTTTTTATTTTGTTGCATAGCTCTGAAGGAGTTTTCAACACATACAAGGAGTTAAAAGACTTCTAAGCAGCGACGGTGCGGCCGGTCACAAGCATGCGTCCCTTTGGCAGGCAATCGCTCGTCTCCACGACGCCGGCCCGCCTCACCTACTATTTGTCTGTGTCTCTGTGGCTGTTGTGTGGCTGGCATCTACCCCCATGCTGGCGTGCCAAAGGAGTGAATGAACAATGGGATACCCTGGCACTGGCGGGTGTTTTAATAACTGTGGAAAATGAGGAATTTACAGATGCATGATTCAAGCTCCCACTTCAAAGTTCCTCCACCAAAATCCTCCTGAAATGAGAAGCAATACTACTGAACATAATGCAACCTTTTGCATGGCTGCCCAACATGACTATAAATCTGTGTGTGCAGTGTTTGGGAAAGTTACATGGCTGGGAAACCGATGCCCTGCTTTCATCTGGAATTTATGTGCAGTGTTCAGTAGGTAGGTGCTGTCTGGGAAATATGAGGGATATAATAGGAAGCAATTTGCTTTTCACTGGCAGTCAAGACTCAAGGCAGGCCTGGGCTCATTGAACAGGGGTTTAACCAGCAACGCTGCATGGCTAGATCCTCTTGGGCCTGAACTGCCTTCACTCTGAATGGAGAACATTCTCTCCCCGCTGGTCTGAGACTGTACTGGCAAGGAGGAGAAATAAGTCCTTTGTGTCCCACTCTTTCTTCATATTCTCTGCCTTCTCGTCTGCTCCTCAGTAGATATCCCAAGTCTTATGATGCTTTCAGTGGATGCCATGTCTCCTGCAGAGGCTCCTCATTCAAGCCTGTCCTGCTCCAGATCGATTATTTTTCTTTTTGTTAATAATTACTGACATTCATGTAATGCATAGTGGGTTCTACACTGTGCAAGTACTCATTAAACCTTACCTCACCTTGAGAGGTAGATTTTTTGTTTAGAGATGGGGTCTTGCTATGTTGTCCAGGCTGAGCTCAAACTCTTGGGCTCGAACAATCCTGCCGCCTCTGTCTCCTATAGTTGTTGGGTCTATGGGTGTGTGGGCTACTCCACCTGGCTGAGAGGTAAATCTGTTTTATTCCTAATTTTTATTTTTTTTGAGACAGGCTCTCACTCTGTCACTCAGGCTGGAATGCAGTGGTGCAATCTTGGCTCATTGCAACCTCTGCCTCCTGGGTTCAAGCGATTCTCCCATCTCAACCTCCCGAGTAGCTGGAAATACAGGCGCATGCCACCATGCCCAGCTAATTTTTGTATTTTTTGTAGAGATGGGGTTTCACCATGTTGGCCAGGCTGGTCTCGAACTCCTGGCCTCAAGCGATCCACCCACCTCTGCCTCCCAAAGTGCTGGGATTACAGGCATGAGCCACCATGCCCAGCCTATTCCTAATTTTTACGTAAGAGAATAGTCTCAAAATGCATAAGTAACTTGCCCATGGTCACACAACTAGAATGAGAAGTAGAAATTTGAACCCAGGTCCGACGCCCAAACTCATTACACCATATGATATTCTTCCCACCTCTCACCTTAAAACTCAATGATGGTATTTCCCATTCTTTCAGATTAGCAGCAACGAAACTATTTACCTTGTACATATTTCACAAATAGCATTTACATTTTAGCTGGGTCTTCTTGGACATGGTGCCTCAATAGAAAGTCCTGATTGTTATTGTTAGATTTTCCCACACTGTGGCAAATGTTGACGAGAGGGTGGCACCTTCTGATTGCCTATGAAAAATGCCACCCAGATGGGGAGGCCTGTGGTTTGCTGGCCTGCTTCGTCCAGTCCGTGACAGAGTGGTGTAGCTATTACTACCAGACAGGATAAATCCTGGACAGTGCTCTCTGGGCACTGTTGACATTTGCCTCGATGATTCTTCTTTCTTCCCTTTAAGACGGACCAGTGTCTTATTCTATGTCTCCTTCTGATATGCTAAAAACCTTCAATCCAGGCCGAGGTCAAGTGCTTTCTAAAAACTTCCTTTGTAAGGTTCCTCTCTTAGGCAGATACTACATATGAAATAATAACTACCAGCAGTAGCCAAAAGACCCTGTGCTATATTATTTTTATCATCTCTTCCTCACTATAAAATATTTGAGAAATGTAATTTTACTTTTGAGGCATTTAAATGAGGAAACTGACATAATTTAAGTGATTTTTCTAAAGCCACACTGCTTAGCAAATCTGGACCTTAAACTGACGAAGCCATCAAGGCAATGTTAGGAGTCTAGTTATGGCTGATGTGGCATACAATTCATCACATTTTTACCAGCTCCGTAATTAGAAACTGGGTGGTTATGCGTGGTTTACTGTGGTAGAGATTGATGATGGTTCAGTTAAGGATCAAAGAAAAATCATTTCCCAGTTCTCTATCCATTCATATTGTTGTGGTTTTTTTTTTTTTTTTCAAATCTTCCTAATTTTCCTTTTTTTTTTTTTCTTCTTTCCCGGAGTGAGTGCAAGCCAAGAAACCTTTGGAGTGTGACTTTGGGGCCAGGCAGTGTTTCGGTGCCACATAATGATATAGTAGTGCATCATCAGTTGCTAGATCTGGGTCTCCTTGGGTGATGGAGTGTTCTTCCTGGAAGCCTAGGGCAGGGGAAGGAGCCCGGGGTCATGAACAAACCTGTTGGTGTTCTATCAAATTAGTACAAAACTTTTAAAAGTTCTTTTATTTTTTCCTTTCTTCCTATATATTGAAAATATTTTAAGGATATGTATTTCTTTTCAAGTTTTTGCTTTGATTACAACGTTTTTATTCTTCTTCAGTTCTAAGTATTTTAGAAATTTCCATATGGGTTTGCTGCATCTCATGAATTATTTGGGAGTATGTTCCTGAATTTCCAATTGCATAGACTTTTTTTTTTTTTTTTTTTTTTGAGACAGAGTCTCACTCTGTAGCCCAAGCTAGGGTGCAGTGGCGAAATCTCCCTGAAACCTCTGCCTCTGGGGCTCACGCCATTCTCCTGCCTCAGCCTCCCAAGTAGCTGGGACTACAGGCGCCCACCACCACACCCGGCTAATTTTTTGTATTTTAGTAGAGACGGGGTTTCACCATGTTGCCCAGGGTGGTCTGGAATTCCTGAGCTCAGGCAATCCGTCCGCCTTAGCCTCCCAAAGTGCTGGGATTACAGGCATGAGTCACCGCGCCCGGCCTAGATTTTTAACTTATTTATTTTTATGTTTAATGTCTAACTTGATTACAGTGTGATCTGAGAGCATGGCCCCTCTGTACTGATTCCCTGAAATATGTTAAAACTGGCTTTAGGACATAGTTTTTTGGTTCATTTTTGTAAAATTCTCATGTGTATTTCAGAAAAATATTTATTCTCTAATGGTTTGGTTCAGGGTTCTATGTTTGTCTATAATTTAAGCTCACTGATTTTGTCATTGAAATCTATTTCTTTTTCTTTCTTTTTTTTTTGAGACAGAGCCTTTCTTTTTTGCCCAGGCTGGAGTGGCACGATCATGGCTCACCGCAGGCCCAACCTCCCTGGCTCAGGGGATCTTTCCACCTCAGCCTCCTGAGTAGCTGGGACTACAGGCACATGCCACCATGCCTGGCTAATTTTTGTATTTTTTTATAGATGCAAGGTTTCACCATGTTGCTCTGGCTAGTCTCAAACTCTTCCTCAGCCTCCTAAACTGCTAGGATTACAGGCATGAGCCACCACACCCAGCCAAAATCTATTTCTTTTTAAATTTTTGTCTGCTTAATTTGTCAATAAAGGAGACAGGTATGTTGAAAGCTCTTACTATATGATGATGAATATGTCAAATTTTGCAGTTTATTAATTTTTGCTTTATAAATTTCCAAGTTATATTAGATGTGCACAAATACAGAATTATAACATACTGGTAAATTTAATGTTTAAAAAAGTATTATGTAGTAGAGACTCTCTATCTTCAATAATGCTTTCTGCTTTAAAGTCTATTTTGTCAAGTTAATTTTATGCCCCTAGTTTTTTTTTTTTTTTTACTTTTCTTTTGGTTAGTATTTGTCTACATAGTTTTTACTTTTGACCATTCTTATGGATATTTTATAAATGTGTCTCTTGTGAAGAATGCATATCTTTAAAAGAAACAAATAAACAATCAGACAATCTTTGTCTTTCAATTGGACATTTCAGATTTTTTACATTTAGTGTGATTTGGGAGTGTATTTTGAATTGTTTCTTACAATTTGTCTTGTTTTTCAAATTCTATTCTGTTCTTTTAGGAATAATATTGGAAATTTTTCTTTCGTTTCAGAAGACATGATCTTTATATTTTGATAAGGTATAATATACTACTGTGTTCATGAAGCCAAGGCACAGTCGTGAATTTAACAACAACAACAACAAGTATGTAGGTTTCAAACACTGCCAAAATATAAATCATTTGTCTGATGGCTGAAAGAAATCCTAAACTCTTTCCTTTATATGGTTTTTGTCTTGCGATATGCTTGTTAAGTCATGAAAACACTATAACTATTTCTCACAAATGGATTTAACAACAGGTTTCCTCTCTTTTCTTATTTGTTTCTCATTTGCACCTTTCCCACCGTGTCTGGATGTGTTTCTGGCTTCCAGTTTTCTACAGATTCTAGATGGAGCGCCCTCTCTTTGTTCCCTGACTTCTCCCTTACAGGTCTTCTCTCAGGTAGCAACAGAGGTGTATACAGCCACTCACAGCCCGCAGGCTCTAGCAACTAAAACAAAGAAACAATTATGCTTTTACATTAGAGATGTTTAATAAACAAAGAAAAATAAAGCTCAGAGACTTGGATGGAGGTGTAGGGTGAGAGGGTGAGATTTTTAAAGTTCACAGAACCTTTCCTAAACAATCAGAGAGACCAATATCACTACTGGCTTTTGTTTTGTTTTGTTTTGTTTTTTTGTTTGTTTGTTTTTGTATTGCCCCACCTCCCTGTGCTGTTGGATTCCCCATATATTTACTTGGTTTTCACATCCCATCAGGTATCCCTGGTCTAAAGAATTCTATGCTGCGACTTACTCAAGAGCTGTCTGGTGATGTTACAACATAACTCAAATTTTCCATTGCTCAATGAGAAACATTTTTTAGAAGTCACTGTGAGAATTGAAATGGAAGTTGTGGGTACACAGGAGCCCTAGGAAGAGACTTCTTTTTAGATACTCTCCATATATCTGATAGTATTCAGAAGTTAAAAAAGATCAATATAAACTTAAAAATACTATCAAATACCTCTTTTACCATTAATGATCCCACAGTAAGGTATTGCCCTCTATTGATAAACTCTAGTTCCAATTCTTCACATGATCTGTTCAGACTTTTTACTTCTGGTTGGCTCATCTCAGCTGTTGGCCAGTGTGTGCTCAAGAAATGCAAACTAACATTTTATATACATCTTAACAGATTCTAGTCAGGCACAGTGGCTCACACCTGTAATCCCAGCACTTTGGGAGGCCAAGGTAGTGGGATCACCTGAGGTCAGGAGTTCAAGACCAGCCTGACCAACATGGTGAAACGCTGTCTCTACTAAAAATACAAAAATTAGCCTAATGTGGTGGCACACACCTATAATCCCAGCTACTTGGGAGGCTGAGACAGGAGACTCACATGAACCCAGGAAGTGGAGGTTGCAGTGAGCCGAGATAGCACCACTGCCCTCCAGCCTCGGCAACAGAGTGAGACTCTGTCTCCAAAAAACCAACAAAAAACAGATTCTTATAAGGCAAGCAAATTTGGTGGGGGAAAATCCAATGGGGATAACTACTGGTCTTCCTTATGATGAATGGTCTGTGGACATTTGTCTGTCTCCAATTAGTCTATCAGTTTTTGCTAACTTTGGAACTCAAGGCCATAGGAAATCTTTTTCTCTTTAAAAATAGTTTTAGGAGATAAGGATCAAAATTAAATACCCATAGCAGGTGTTTGTCTACAAATGTGTGCATGCATTGGCACAATGGCTGCTTGAATGTGCAGTGTGTGCCAGCTTGGTAACTGTGGGTGGAATTTGGGCATTAGCTCTAGAAAATGCAACCTGCAGAATATTTTCTTTCTTTCTCATCTGAACAAAAGCATCACAGGACTGCATCTTTTCTACCTGAGCAGTAATGATTCAGAAATGAGCACTGAGAGATGAGTTGTTCCATGTGAGATTAATGCACTTACTCTCTAAAGCACCTCTTTCAAATGCAAATCTTTATAAAATACAGCATACACTTTGCTGCCTTCTTTCATGGAATATACTAGATAGAATTTAGAATTTAACCTTGTTCGGATGGGTAGAGTCATTATTAGAAAACTGGTGTTTTTCAATACAAGAATAGAGGATGCCCATGGAGTTATTGAGCTGCGTGGAGATGTAGGCCGTGATTAAACGCCCTGCAGGCTATAGTTATTGAGTTTTTCTTATCTGCTGCCCATAATTTTTCTATTTCTGTCTTACGGTAAAACTGACATTCCTATTTTTAATTCCTGCCCTATTAGCCATTCTTGACATTTATTGTTTAAGTTGACAGATTGTTGGTCATTACTGAAGATAGGCAATGTTTACACAATGCTTATTATCCTATTCTCTTTACTTGGAATATGTTTGAATATTCCCAAGGTGGATTGGACAGGAGAGAGGAGCAATTTAACTTTAGGGGAGGTGGCCAGGCATGGTGGCTCACGCCTGTAATCCCAGCACTTTGGGAGGCCGAGGTGGGTGGATCACTTGAGGTAAGGAGTTTGAGACCAGCCTTGCCATCATGATGAAACCCTGTCTCTACTAAAAAAAAAAAAAAAAAAAAATACAAAAATTAGCCGGGTGTGGTGGCACAAATCTGTAATCCCAGTTACCAGGGAGGCTGAGGCAGGAGAATTGCTTGAACCTGGGAGGCAGAGGCTGCAGTGAGCCAAGATCGTGCCATATCACTCCATCCTGGGTGACAGAGAGAGACTCTGTCTCAAAAAAACAAAAACAAAAACAAAAACAAAAACTTTAGGGGAGGGCTTATGGCATGACACTTCCCAAAGATGGCTGCAACAGTCCTCCAGGCCACATCACCCTCTAAACTGTGGCCTTGACCCCCATTGGGAGATGGAGTCTACATTCTATTCTTCTATGCCTGGGTAGATTTGTGACAATTATGGCAGAAGGGATGCTATGTGTCTTCCAATTCTAGGTGTTAAGAGGCAATGCAGGTTCTGCTCTATCACTCTTAGTTTTGGAGTTCTGAGTCATCAGGCAAAAGATCTGACTCTACTAAGACTTCCATGCTATGAGGAAGCCCAGGCCACGTGCAGATGGTACAGTTAATAGCTCCAGCTGAGGACCAGGCTGACAGGCATCAACCTCCAGGCACATGCGTGAAGACACCTCCAGATAATTCCAACCTTCATCTCCTGAATCCCCCTCCCCCAGCTGTTGAGTCTTCCCATCTGAGGCCACAGACATCATGGAATGGTGACAAATGTCCCTGCTGCACCCTTTCCAAATTCCTGAACCACAGAATCCAGAGTGGTTAGACAGTAATTGGAACAAGGCCCCAGGGATTCTTCTGGAAGTGGAAACAAGAGTTTTACTTTATAGTCTTTGCAAAATGCTATGTGGGGTAGTGGTTAAGATATTGAGCTCTGGAGTTAGACAGATTTGGATTCAAATCCTGAATCCATCAGATGTTATACCTTTTTCAGCTTCAATTTCCTCATCTGTAAAATGGGGACACTACTCATATTCTGTCATAGGGTTTTGTGATGATAGTGTATTCGGTATAAAGTGTTAGCAGGTGAACAACACAGAATAAATACTCATACCTTTTTGCCGTGTGTGTGGCATAAGATTGAATTCTCAAAGATTCCTATTACTGCCTTCCTGATTCTCAGATGTGTTCCAGATAATTGAGATTTCTAGATAGATGAAGCTCTACTCTATTACTATTAAGATTTGATAATGCTATTTTCACAACTTAAAACTTGGAAAGAAATAGCAGTGCATACACTCTGAAGCAGAGGTTGCTAGATTGTAAGGCTGAGGAGGGCAGAGACCACATCTCTTATTATTCTGTCTTCAGAGTCAAGCACAACTGAACACCACAGAAAGTGCTCAATAAATACTTTTCATATGAATCACCTTAAGATTCTATTCATGTGGCCGGGTGTGGTGGCTCACGCCTGTAATCCCAGCACTTTGGGAAGCCGAGGTGGGTGGATCACCTGAGGTCAGGAGTTCAAGACCAGCCTGGCCAACCTGGTGAAAGCCCATCTCTACTAAAAATACAAAAAAAATTAGCCGGGTATGGTGGTGCATGCCTGTAATCCTAGCTACTCAGGAGGCTGAGGCAGGAGAATTGCTGGAACCCGGAAGGTGAAGGTTACAGTGAGCCGAGATCGCCCCACTACACTCCAGCCTGGGCAATAAGCAAAACTCTGTCTAAAAAAAAAAAAAAAAAAAGATTCTATTCATGTAACCTTTAGATGCCACAAAGGATGGGGGATCACCTCATTATCACTTATTTTCAGAGGCCTAAAATTTCCACATTGATTGCAATATTTTTCAGATGACGTAATTTGTTTTGGGCCATGGAAGTACACAACTATTTTTTTTTTTTTTTGAGACAGAGTCTTGCTCTGTCACCCAGGCTGGTGTGCAGTGGCCCGATCTCGGCTCACTGCAAGCTCCGCCCCCTGGGTTCACACCATTCTCCTGCCTCAACCTCCCAAGTAGCTGGGACTACAAGGCGTCCGCCACCACGCCCGGCTAATTTTTATATTTTTTTAGTAGAGACGGGGTTTCACTGTGTTAGCCAGGATGGTCTCGATCTCCTGACCTCGTGATGTGCCCGCATCGGCCTCCCAGAGTGCTGGGATTACAGGCGTGAACACTGCGCCCAGCCGGAAGCACACAACTATTAAGATAACCACTTTTTGTATTTGTAGATCAAAAATATTTTCCCCATATT
Source organism: Homo sapiens (assembly GCF_000001405.40). Lineage (NCBI taxonomy): Eukaryota > Metazoa > Chordata > Mammalia > Primates > Hominidae > Homo > Homo sapiens. The sequence goes on from NC_000013.11 coordinate 73,244,288, forward strand.
CTTGGAATATTATGATGGATATTAAATAATTTGTTAAGTAATTAGCCCAATGCATTTTTTGCATAAAATGCTTACAATTTTGGTTTTAATGATTCAGAGGCCAAACTGGTAATTTTAAGTCGGCACTGTGATTTCAATTAATTATCACTTTAAACTTCCTTCATAATTGCAGTCACACTAGGCAGCAGCTCAATTTTCTTGTCACAACATATAGAACTTTAATTAGAGTGAAAATTATGAACTATGGCAAGGGATTTTGGTATATTCTAGTAACTCAATTTTAATGGAAATACTACGTTCTGATTTTTATTTGGTGAAACAGGTTATAAACTTCTCTCAGGGAGTTACGTAACCTTGAAACCTTTAGAATTTTATTGATGACTAATGTAGAGACTGCAAAAACAAATTCCATTTTCCAAAGTCCAAAGTTCCTGTATTATCCTCATAGGTTAGTTTATGCTATGGTAACAATACAAAATTTCTTTGTCACACCACGTCCATTTTTTTTTTTGTATTTTTTTTTAATTGGCCCAAAATGTCAGTCCAAGTCCATTTTAGATTTAGGTGACCCACCACGTCATGGCTCCACCTTCCAGGCCGTGTGATCTTGGGGCACCTGTGTCTCAGCATCTGTATTTACCATCACTGTGGCAAGGGAACCAGCACAGAGAACCTCACCTGGGCTCTAGATGCCTCGGCTCAGAAATCACACCTGTCGCTTTCGCTTCACACTTCATAGGCCAGCACAAGTCAAATGGCTATGTTTAATTTCACTAGGTGGGGAAGAGTCATTCTCCTATATGTCAAGGAATGGGGGCTGAGGCAGGAGAATCACTTGAACCAGGGAGTCAGAGGTTGCAGTGAGCCGAGATGGTGCCACAGCATTCCAGCCTGGTGATAGAGCCAGATTCCATCTCAAAAAAAAAAGGGAAATATTGTAATACTCCAGCAAGTAACAGAGAGGTTGTAAGAACTGGTTCAACATCTTTTTTTCAGGCAAAACTTTTTTTCCTCCAACTCGACGAAAATTACATTGAATATAAATGGAATCTTACATCTTTAATGTGATTAGTACAACTTAAAGTACCGTAAAGTACCGTACTTACAGCAGAATGGGATCTTATGGGAGGTGGTTCTGTCTTGGATTCTTTCCAGGGGGTGGGGATGCTGAGTGCTGGAATTGCCATAGGGACTTGGTTACAACATTGCTTTGCTGAGAATGCAGTTCTGAAGCAGGGACCTAGAGGATGATACCATAAGGAGGCTCTCCTTTAATTATCTCCCCCGGTGTGGGACTGGGCGATAAGATACACAGTTTGAAAAGTAATCAGGGCAACTACAGCCAAATATTGTTACACTTTAGATAGTAACTACAGGGACTGAAATATCTACCTTTCTTTTCCTAAGAACCATCTTGCAACCACTTCCACCCCCTATCTGTCATTGTCCTGTGCTCAATCAAAAGAATGTACGCACAAAGTGAAGGTCTGATAAGACCACATCTACAAGGTACATTAAGTCTCTAATCTTTTCTTCCCCTTTCAACCAAAAAGAGTATATTATATATCTGCTGATTTTTAAATGCGGAATATCATTTCTTGTCATGATTTTCTGCTACTGCACATGGGCTCTGGGTCTATGCAAGGAAAGTGTCAATAATTTGAAACCATTGACACTTTCTGTTATGTCACTAACAGCCTTTGGCCAATAAGTGCTAAGCAAGTTTTTGGTGAGGAGACTTTGGTCCAACACGTTGTTGGTACAACCTTGGGCCAACCTGTTAACTGAAATGCATCATCATGACATCTGGGTAAAGAGGAGTCAAATACTTAGTGCCCTTTGTGTTTCTTCCATACCGCAAAATAATCTCTACATGTAACTAACAAATGAACTTTCCCAGCACACTGTTTTTGTTGTAATATCACAGATTTAACTTGTGAGCATCTACAGGGTTGGGGTGGGGTGGCATGGTGTTGAAGTCTGTAAGAGTGTTTATGCAATTGCCTTTCCCAGTAAGGGACAGTCATTTAAGAAGCAATCTACATCAGAGAATGTGCTACATCAGAGAATGTTTGTCCACATTTTCCATTGTTCTATCATTACCACATGTGCAATTTTTATTCTTAACAGCATGTTGAGTTTGTCAACTTTTCAGTAAAAACAGGGCCTTGCACTAAAAGATGTCCTGCAATAGGACTGAGAACAATAATCACGTACCAGGTGCCCATATAGCATGTTGGTGTCAATATTTGAAAAACAGAGCATCAGTACCCTGGCCTGAAGGCATTATAGCGCGGATTGTTTATCAGAGTGATGGCACTTTCTAGGAAAGGAAAATGAGAAGAAGGCATATTTCAAGAAAAAGAACTGATTGTTGCAGCTAACACAAAAGGTTTAAATGGATTTTTTCTTATATTATTCTCTCTTGGTTTTTCTCAACATATTTTTCTCAATATATTGTCATACAATACCATGTACATTGTTACTTTTATTCTTTCATTCATTTAACAATCATGTGTTGGTTGCTATGTGACAGGAAATGGCTAAAGATAAAGAAATATGATCTTAAAGGATTTGCTGTCAAGTAAGGGATATACATTGACTGGGAATTAGAGAAATGGAGTAGAAGTAAAAACAAGGTGACATGGGAGCACCTAGAAGGGCCTATAGAAGTATCTAGGAGAGGAGCCAGGCATGGTGGCTCACGCCTGTAATCCCAGCACTTTGGGAGGCCGAAACGGGCAGATCATCTGAGGTCAGGAGTTTGAGACCACCCTGGCCAACATTGTGAAACCCTGTCTCTACTAAAAATACAAAGAATTAGCCAGGCATGGTGGTGTGAGCCTGTAGTTCCAGCTACTGGGGAGGCTGAGGCAGGAGAATCGCTTGAACCTGGGAGGCAGAGGTTGCAGTGAGCCAAGATCATGCTACTGCACTCCAACCTGGGTGACAGAATGAGACTCAGTCTCAAAAAAAAAAAAATTGTCTAGGAGAGGGAGGGGAAAGGAGAAAGATAATCATGGCTTTCTGAGTCTTGAAGGATACACACAAGTGGATCAAAGGGGAATGACCACTTTAGGCAGAGGGAAGAGCCCAGAGACATCAGCCTTCATGAGTGTTCAGGGAGTGGCAAGTGACATGTGAGGATGGAGCATCAGGCGAGGAAGGCTTGTGGCCCAGGGTGAGGCCAATCAAGGTCTGGAAGCCTCACAACCCAAGACTCTGGTGCCCCAGCAAGAAGTGAACTTCATCCTGGTGGTTCTGGGGAGGCACTGAAAAGTTGGAGACAGGGAGAGTTAGAATGTGATTCCCATGTCAGGAAGATGACTCTAAAGGCCAAGTGGAGTTTGAACGGCAGGCTGCCGTGTTCCAGGTCAGAGATGATGACTGCAGTGGCAGTGGGCATGGCAAGAAGAGGAAAGATGGGAGATGTTTAGACTGTAAAATTAAGAGAGCTTGTTAAGTGATTGAATGTGGAGGCTTAAGGAGAGGAATGGCCAGGGATGATTTTTATGTTTCTGACTTGTGTGACTAACATTAAACAAAATAAGGAATATAGGGGAATCATCTTTGAAGGAAAGATGAGTTTGAGATGCCTGAAAATTGAAAATGATATGCCCATTAATGCAATAATACTGGCTAACATTTATTGAAAGCTCAGTATACACCAAATATTGTCATAAATTGTATATTTTGATCAATTTAATTCCCACAGCCACCCTAACAGCTATTGTTAGTTTATTTCATCAAATCTAAGGTACCATCCATTGTAAGACACATCTTGATTCAAAGATGTTAAAACGTCCCTCTTAGAATTAATACAATATCGTATTATTCCTATTTTATAGATTTAGAAACTGAGGCAGAGAGATTAAGTAATTTATCCAAAGTCACATAGTAAATGGAGGAGCTGGGCTTCATAAGCAGTCAATGGAGGAGCTGGGCTTCATAAGCAGTCAATGGAGGAGCTGGGCTTCATAAGTAGTCTGCCTTTCAAAATTTTTCATTTAATCACTGTACTACATCTCTTGTTGGTACATATGAGTCTGAGGAAAGTGATCTGGGATGGAGATAGAGATCTGAGAGTCATCAATCAAAAATTCTCCATTAAATGGCAGAGGTGGAGATAGCGTTTATAGTACATAACGAATAAAGTTGCGATAAGGTCCTTTAAATTAAAACTGAAATAACATTGATAATTACAACCAAATGCCCCTTTTGATACATTAAAACACCTCAAAAAATCAGAGTACACATATTTCAGGCATTTTTTAAATAAGAGAAACTAAAGATACAACATAACGAAGTTGATCAGAATTTCCCAATAAAAATTATAAGTTTTCAGAGAGGAGGCTGTGGCGCAGTTGATTTTTTTAACCATCAGCTTCTGAGTTTCCTAAGCACATGGCCATTTCCTCACTTGTTTTGTGAAATGACAGCCGAGAGGTGGAGTGGAATGGAAATCTAGAAATCATTGCCATGCAAATATGCAGAAGCAAAGCTGTATGTTTGCATGTAAAGCTCATGGTATCTGCAGTCCTGGGAAGAATTAAATTCCTTACCTGTGGGCAGGTGTGTATTTGGCCACATGCCTTTACTTATTAGGCAAGACAATGTCCCTCAGTGCAGTGAGTCACTGCTTTTGGAAGCAAGCCTTCTGCCTCAAGAGTAACAACTTTGTTTTTCAGGCACAGTTTGTTTCCCCCACCTCGTCCCCCACTCCTCTCTCTCCTCCTTTTCCTACTGATTATCAGATCCTAGTGGAGGAAGAAGAAGGGAAGAACTTACGGGTTTTAAAGACAGAAACCCAGTTTACAGAGTTGCAAAGGAAATAGGAAAGCAACATTTGGAGCCCAGTTCTGAGTTTGCTTTAAGCTTTAATCAGGCAAGAAGAATAAGCTGGGAACAGCTCCAAGGAGGTAGGTTGCAGAAAAGCAGTGTCTCCATGGCCTTCTCAGCAAGCTCAGGTGCAAAAGATAAGTGTACATCGTCTTTGAAAGGAGAAGAGTCTTTGAAAGTAGAATAGTCAGGGAAAGAGGGCTGCTTCGGTAGCCAGCCTTCCAGATGGGGTCAGTATGAACAGCCTCACGAGCAGCTGCAGTTTAACCCAAACAATCACACATGTTTGTAAGTGCCTTTGGTCCAACTTGCTGATAGTGTAATGACAATAAACAGAGCAAATGAAGTAGCCACTCCAGCAAGGAATGAGTTTTCGAAAGAAGAAGCCCATGTTTTTGAGAAGAATGTTTCTAAACTTCATTTAATTTGCTGCATTTGGGCCCCTGAAAAAAAATTGATGATAGCTCACATTTTAATTTGCTGTGGTTATTTAATCTCACTCTAGTTAAATCATCTTCACCAACTGTTTTTTTTAAAAGCTTAAAAAGATTGCCTGTTTGTTTACATAAGGGTATTTGGGTAGGAAAGAATTCCATTTCTATTTCTTTAGCTATCATGGGCATAATACAACTGTCTCTATATTTTACTTTCTCATTTATTTTCTACCATGACCTCTTCTATTACCCCAATGATGCATATTAAATAATCAGATTAGCTAGGTGATAAACTGCCTTATGTAAATTTTTTGAAAAGGTGGTGGCTTATAAATACATTCCAAGATAAATAAAAATAGTTAAAGTACCAAAGCCATCTTTGAGAAGATGAAAACAATTTTTTTTCGCTAGAGTGGAGTTTGGCAGAGAGAAGGCCTGAGGCATAGAGGGAAAACAATCATTTTCTGAAAGGTAGAAGTAGGTGATGGACTGAGAGGTGAGTGTCCCGGAGCAGGGAGCTCAGGCAGGGCATGGGGCAAAAACTTCTTAGAGAATGTATCAGAAGTTATAATCTGCAGCTGCTAATAGGGACTGTGAAATAGTGTCTTCCACAAGATGAGGGTTTACGTTGATCTCATTTAAGTCCAGATGTAGGCAAGCTGGTCTGTTATATGGCGGCTCCCTGATGTCATCAGGAATCAGGCTCTCTGCTCTCATCCTCAGGCTCACAAAATGGTTGTTGCAGCTCCGGCAATCACAACCATGACTCAAGAAGAAAAAAGAGGAAGAGCGGCATGAGCGAAGAGGATCTGCTGATTAAGGCAGTCTCCTTTATAGAGTGTCCCCTGACGTGCCACCACATCACATGCCTGTCTGGGAAAGGGCTAAGAAAGGTAGTTTTCTGGACTGGGCACCTGCCTTCCTTTCCCAGTGGTTCTGCTAGTAAGGAAATAAGGGTAATGCTAATCAGATAAGATTTAGAAGTCTTTATCATAATGCAGTAGGAAGGAAAGCAGTAGATTAACAGTACTGAAGGCAAACCTTGCTTATTTTATTTTAGCAAGGATCAAAATTTTCAGAAGCCAAAATGTAAATGTTGCCTTTTTGTTAAGATAATTTAGCTCTGGACACTACTAATCAATACTACAACATGACACTGCTTCGAGGGCTGGCTGGGTTATCAAGGCAACAATTAGAGAAAATTCAGATTACTGAAGAATTAAATGTTGATACTCACTGATCTCATAATTCTATAGAGCTATACTTCTAGCAAGAAGGTTACTATCATTATTACTATTTTGGATGGTGTTTGAGAGTCAGGAGATGAATGTGGAGCTGCCTCATTTTCTTTAAAGCAATTTTTCAGAGGTCACTTAAATAGCTAAATCCGCCTCCCTATATCCCACTATGATAGGGACAAAAGGCTCCAGGGGCCCCAGCATTTGAGAACTTGTAGTCACTAGAACTTTTCTAATTGATGTCCATGGGTAATAAATGACTTTGTGCAGTTGGTTGTGGTATTTATGCTTTAAGGAAAAGTAAACCTCTGATATCTATCTTGCAGCTCTTTGTCTACTGACAACCATTGATCTCTTCTCAAAAACTTCCAGTGACACACACATGTCCCTCATCTCCACCTATCATACACAAATGGGATTTAAGAAACAAGGTCACTCCTAAAAAAGGATGTTAAAAAAAGCAAAAAAAAAAAGCAAAAAAAAAAAAATCCTTTGTTAACTCTAAACAACAACTCTATTGTTACATCAAATGAAAGTAAGTAGAAGTTGTCAGAAATGTAGTTCTACCATATTTAAAATGTTTATTTTATCTTATAATTGGGGCAACCTTATGGGAACAAAGAGTGGGTTTGATGATGGCAATTACTTTACATGGCGACAGTGATCTAGAATACAGCCCAGAAGATTTGGTCGGATTGTAATCACCGACTAACTGCAGAAAGCCTCTGTGCTTGGATTAGCTTCACTGGGCATGAAATAAGGCACAAAATTAACTGTTCTTTTCTTTTTCTGGAGAACTTTATACATAGCTACACCCCATGTGGAAAAGAGAAATAATTTTTGTTTTTAATACTGAACCAACTAAAAAATGTGAAAGAAATAAATTCAAGTGTGTGAAAGCATAAGGAGGCAAAGGAAATAATTCTATTATATTTATTTTTCAACAAGGGCTTACATCTGTTTCTAATTTACACAGATTATTGACACATCTGGATGTTTGGCCTTAGGAATTGTAAGTTGCTGCAGTGGCATTTATTTTTTGAATCAACTCTTCAGACCACCCTGGAACTCATGCAACTAGTTTGGAGAGGAGGTTGTGATATTTTAAATAAAGTTACCTTCTGGCATTTTGAAGCCAGTGCAAATGGGATTCTGTCATCTTGTGTTTTATAAATTGTGGTTTTGCATTTTTGACACCTGCAGGAAAAATAAGACCAAAGCCAAAAGCCTAAATGGTTTGACAATGACAAATTATAATAGCCAGATAAAGCTATCAGGGAGACACTGGAGAATGGTGTAAGGTTAGCCACTCACTTTGACTGTAGGGACCCCAATTTCAGCAGAAACAAAATAAAGAACCAGTGACTCATGAAAATGCTGTTTTAAAGTGGCCTGATGGGAGCATGCATTCTAATGAGGAGAATGGGATTGTTCGAAAGTAGGTTTGATTAATACTTTACCTCTTGGACTGATGCCTTTCATAATCGGGAGCTAACTTTTCTCCCTATGTGGTCTGATTGTAGTAATTTATTCCAAGGGTATGAACAATGGGAATCATGGAGTAGACCTTTCAGATTTGAAAAAACAAAAACATGCTGAAACACTTATTTCATGGCAAATATTTCTTAAATGGAGTAGCATGATTTTATTAAAAGCAACAGAAGACCATACGTCAAAATCCTAATGCAAATTGGGGAAAACAAAACAAAACCCTCCTATAGTTCTTTAGTCTGAAGGTACAATAGAAATAATTAAGCACACAATGTGGTTTGATTAGTTTTGTTGAAGAAGGCTCTTTGGAGTTCTCACAGTAGTTTTGATTTTTTGTTTAGCTGTCACAGCAAACCTTAAAATTCTCTCCCGTTGGAGATAAAGTGTTACTAGACTGGGTGATACTACAGCAGACTGACATAAGAAAAAATGACATTTGGCTTTATCATTCCTTGGAGGCAATTACTGTGCTTCACTTTGAAAGGAAGTGATCACATTTAGCGAGCATCTGATATATCCTAGAAACAAACCTATTTATTGTGCTGACATTCTTGTCTTTAGAAATTATTTTGTTACGTCTTCACAAATCAAAAACACTAAATGTATGTCAATGCCTGAAATAAATGATAAAATGTCCCTGTGTATCAACCTAAAATCATTTTATAACGTGGAATGGAGATTCACTTCTTACAACTTTCTAGTAGAGATGGCAGGGAAGGAATCAGAATTAGAGGCCAAATCCAAAGACTACCTTGAATAAAAGAGTTATGTAATTAGCATGTTCCTATCTCCACTTAAGTACAGTCTTCTATTTTAAGAGGCCATTAGGTGTCCATTGGGATCAATTAATGGCCTCTTGGAATGGCTTCACGGCAACTAACTAGGGTGTCACCACCACAGTATTGTACGGTATTGACCTGAATGGCTTGAAACCTGTCTCACTTCTAGTATCACCTACAGTCCTGTCATTTTCAAGCCTCAGGTCTTCTGAATGTGTGAGTCTCAAAGCTAACCTGAAAATTTTCTAGGTAAATCTTAGTGTTGGTCTTGATAAAGAACCAAATGGGCCTTTAAGGGATGCTTTGATGATGGAAGATAGGAGTATGCATGAAAAACCGAATTCCACAGATAACACAAGAATTGCATTAAAGTGACGTCTCGCCTTTCTTCTAACCAGAGTTTTAAGTCACAGCCAGCTACTGGAAATAATTGTAGGCTGGCTTGAGCTGGCAGTGGCAGGGGATGGGGATTTTTGATCCAGTGTGTTTAATGACAGACCACTGGAAATGCACATGGACACTGATCAGTAAATAGTGAGCTGGCAGAACTGTCTTTTTAAGTCTTTAAGACGTTTTGGGGCTGGGCGCGGTGGTTCACGCCTGTAATCTCAGCACTTCAGGAGGGCGAGGCAGGTGGATCACCTGAGATCAGGAGTTCAAGACCAGCCTGATCAACATGGTGAAACCCCATCTCTACTAAAACTACAAAACTAGCCAGGTGTGGTGGCACATGACTATAATCCCAGATACTTGGGAGGCTGAGGCAGGAGACTAGTTTGAACCTTGGAGGTGGAGGTTGCAGTGAGCTGAGATCATGCCATTGTGCTCCAGTCTGGGCAACAAGAGCAAAAGTCCATCTAAAAAAAAACACACACACATTTTGGGAGGGTGTCTGGTCAAATGTGGAAGTGTTTCTTTTCCAGGTGGGTCATTTAGTTGAGTTGGAATGCCCCAAATGTAGCCATCCCTCATGGTACATCTAAGGGAATCTGTTTCTCTTTCAATGAGCCTTTCCTTGGTTTATTGCAGGCCTCTATTGGAGCTACTAACCAAAAAATGAAAAGGAACTAGACCCAGAGAGGATCAAATGTGTAAATGCCAATTCAGAGAGGTGAGCAAAGCAGGAAGAAAGAAAGAAGGAGGGGAGGTCAAGATGAGAACTCTGCTGACTCCTGATTCTCCAAGGTACAAATTCTCTGCTGTGTTACCTACCCAGGCCTCTCTCCCACTCCTCTCTTGCTTCTGACTGGAAATAGGGAATTGGAGGAACATGTCTTGGGAAAGATGCCATTGTGTGCTTAGGCTGAGGCAGTCCCAGAAGGCTGGAGCTGGAGGATAACGTCAGAGGTCCCTAGTCAAGTTTCCTTACTATATAGATGAGGACTCAAGGCCCAGAAAGGTGGAGGGATGAGTGGACGTCTTTAAACATGTCCAAGAGAAAACAAATGACTTTGTTTAGTTTTCTGATCCCAAGTGGGAGGAAATAATTAGGAAAAATATTCCAAACATTTAAAAAGCTGTCTCTTAGTATTTGTTGATGATGCATGTTATGTTTCATACTGAATTTGATGCAGTGGTATAGAAAAATCATGGGCTTGAACACATTTCCTCAACAGACAAACTCAACACATATAAAACAGTCAGTCAGTGGTGTCAGAAGCAAGGGTGAACATGGATGACCACACTCTGAAGCTGATAGTTTGCCACTCGAGAAGGGAATGGCTTTCCTCTCCAGCCTCCTGGGGCTCACAGGCTAGATGGAGTTATACAGGGATTCACCATGTTGATGGAAAGGGAGATCCTCTGGAGCTTGTAGTTTGTGGAGGTGGGAGAATCTTCTCCCTTCAGCTATTCCAGAGAGGCTGTTGCTCATGAGGATTTGGAGTCTTGAAATGGTTACAGATCATTACCTGAGTCATCAGGAAGGATTCCCTGGATTATTCTCTCTTCCTTCTTCCTTTTCTATTTTGTCCTTATCACATCGTGGCTCAAGGCTTTCTAAAAGACCTGTTCTGATTTCAGAATCTATCGTTCATGATCTTTCTCAATGTTTTCTTTTCTTCTTTTGCTAGTTGGATCACATTCAGCTTTGATCTCTCATTAACCAGAAATTTCTATTCTTTTGACTCATTCATTTCCTTTAGCAGGAAATTAAAAATGAGCCACTATTTTATCAGGTATAACCTGTACATGATTTTCTTTTCTTTTCATCTAATGTTTAAGTTGTTCTCATCTATATTTTAGATTTACAGTGCCTGTTTCAGGCCTATTTCAAAAAGGAGATATTTTATTTCTTAATTAGAAAGGCTTTTTATTTCTGAGCATAACTTGAACATTTTAGCATTAATATCCTTTTGCTTTTCTGAGTTGAGGACTTAGTACTTTATAGTTATTTAGAAATATATGATTCTTTGCTATTCTTTATAAGTGTATTTTGTTATATAAACTCATATACACTTTTTAAATAATTTCTTTTTTTCATTTATTATGTGTTTTGAGCCATTATATTTTATTTGCTAATATCAATTTTGCTATTGTTATGGAATACCTCTAAAGTTCAAGTTTTGGATTTCCAAGTGTGACCTCCAGTTGTCTTGATGAGAGAATATACATTATCTGTATCCAAAATGTCACTCAGGGCCAACTGGTCTTTTGATATTTGGCTTAAATACCTTGTCCCATGTGCAGTGAGAGACTCAGTCTTTCCAAATGTCTCAAGTCATTGAGGGGACAGGGCACCTCCATTTCTCCTGGCTTCTTCTGGCCCTGGGGTCCTTCTTCTGTGGATTAGTGCAGTTCATGGTTTACTCACATCTGTGTGCTGTTCCTTTTATGCACTGTGCACCCCACACAGAACATCATCCAAGTCCTTCCTGTCCACATTCTCAGGCTGTGTGTATGGCAGACATTCACTGAAGTTTTGGGGCAATGGAATTGTTTAACTAAAAGAAGTTTAAATTATAGCATCATTAAAATAAAGTAAAAAATGGCTGGGCACGTTGGCTCACACCTGTAGTCCCAGCACCTTGGGAGGCCGAGGCAGACAGATCACCTGAGGTCAGGAGTTTGAGACCAGCCTGGTCAACAGGGCAAAATCCTGCCTCTACTAAAAATACAAAAATTAGCCTGGCGTGGTGGCAGGCGCCTGTAGTCTCAGCTACTCAGGAGGCTGAGGCATGAGAATCACTTGAACCTGGAAGGCGGAGCTTGCAGTGAGCCGAAACAGTGCCACTGCACTCCAGCCTGAGTGACAGAGCAAGACTCCATCTCAAAAAAAAAAAAAGAAGAAGAAGAAGAAGTAGATAATATTGCAGCTCTCGAAAATTTTTGGTCCTTAAGAGCTTCTTTCTCACTGTCTACTTTTTTCAGCAAGCTGCCTGGTTTGTAATACTCCTTTATTCTCTATTCCTCAATCCCCACCCCTTTTAGTGACATTTTCCCTCTGGTCCCCTCCCCTCCCCTCCCCTCCCCTCCCCTCCCGTCTCCTCTCCTTTAGTTTCCTTTCCTTTCATTTCCTGAGAG